>NC_000005.10:165155263-165458293 GCF_000001405.40 Homo sapiens | reverse complement strand
ACGTCTCAAAATTGTTAAAATTCGTATGTCCAATCATCATTAATTATACAAAATGAGGCTGACAAGCTCACATGCATTCAACCGTGTTGTACAGGGAATTATTACTGATGAATGACAGATGAAACGTAATGAAGATTGGATGTGAGTAATTAATCCAGGAAAGGTCCACTTTAGGAAAAAAGTTGTTCTTTCACTCTTCTTAAACTTAGCCAGTAGGGGTCAGCACAACAGCTGTGGTGGATAACATTTCCCTTTGCTCTTGTATCCACAGAGCTATTCTGATGTAGATATGGCCCATTGTCAAATCTCAGTGGTGTCAAGTCATGCTGAACAATAGTTTTAATAAGTTTTAATATCCGGAAATATACCAAACACTGTGGACTATTTACAGTTTTTCTAACAATCAAATGCCTTTATTTCAATGGTCTGGGTAAATGAAACAAACTTTATTTCAATGGTCTGGGTAAATCAGCACACACATTAAACAAGATGTATTACTTAAAATTCTTTGCAAGTTTGTAGATTGTTTTTGGGAGGATTTTCAATATCAAATTAAATTGCATAATAAATCACCTCCAAAGAATTCACTGAGTTTATAATGTAGAATAATGAAATGTGCAATATATGAAGTGAAACATCTCATATTTTAACCTTTATGCTAAGTGAAAGTAGCAGGTAGAGGTAGAACTGTGTTTATAAAAGTGTTTTCCTAAGGTATTGAGAGGAAAATGCAGGCCTAGTGTGACATATTATTTATTCCCTAGACTCTGTTTGCCACATGCCAAGTAAAATTCACTATATTGCCAACTTGGTTGAATTTTCTCTCACTGAAGCAGTCAGGGTCAGAATCATATGAAAGAATGCCATTTGGTATGGTTTAAAGGATTTCAAAGGCCAATCCAAAAATATATTCTCCACTTCATATCATTGTAACTGACATTGCAATCATTTCTAAGTCTCTGTGCTAAGTTGATTGCCTATCCATTCACTCATGTTTCCAATCGTGTAACCATTTATTCATTCACTGTCCACTCATTCAGACATACATCCATTTATGCCTCAGCACATCTATTTATGCCTGTATTCGTTTTTAAATTTAACAAAATTTGCATAGTGTGCTTGCATGATGAGGGATATAGCAAGAAAGCAACAACAATAACAAAAACTGCCAAAGTCCCTGCCCTCATGGAACTTAAAGTCTAGAGAAGGATTCGGATAGTAAATAAATAATTTTAATGTAGCATGTTCAATGAAATGAAATGTACAGTGCATCCAGGAATTGAGAGACAGCGTGAAAGGCCTGCGTAGAACTTCTTGATGAAAAGATGTGTAAGCTGAGGCCAAGAAAATGGTTATATGGAACCAAGTTCAAGGAGGGAAGACATGGGTTGGGAGGAAAAAAGACAGTCAAGATTTCTGTAACTTTTTTCAAACTATCTATATAATAATCATCATCATCAATGTTGACTGTAGTCTTCTCTATCCCTGCAATATCAAACTATTTCCTTAAATACTAAAATTAATTATGACAATCTTTATTTTTACAGATGAGAGGACAGGAGAAGAGAGGTTATATGGTTATGTGTCCAAAATCATGGCCTGTGTGGTTTTGATCCTGTCATCATGTTGCTAACTGGTTATTACAGAAAACCAAATACCACATGTTCTCCCTTATATTTGGAAGCTAAACAGTGAGAACACATGGACCCAAAGAAAGGAACAACAGACACTGGGGCCTACCTGAGGGTGAAGGGTGGGAGGGGACTGAAAAACTACCTATTGGGTACTATGCTTATTACCAGAGTGACAAAATAATTTGTACACCAAACCCCCCTGACATGCAATTTACCTATGTAACAAACCTGCATGTGTACCCCGAACCTAAAATCAAAGTTAAAAAAATAAAAATAAATGAAATCATGGCCTGAACAACTCTGAAGCCCACCATTGCCACTCTTTACCACTGGCCTCTTTTGAAAGGCTCACAATATCGAGTTACCCTAAACAGCCAAGCCTGATAGTTCTCTGGCTTTTACATTCATTTTCTGGCAGGTTTCTAAAGTTATACAAGTCTAGGATTGTAATGTTAGGCCCTCGAAAGCAGGTGTATGTGAGAGCCTACTCTATCATGGTGTGGTATAAGGGGGAGGAGGTTGGAGGGATTCATATGAATTCTGAGGGAAAGTAGGGAGGTTTTAGGCTGGAGGAATAGTGTGAGCTTAAGAGAAGTACTGTTCACAATGGGAAGTATAGAAAGATGAAACAAAGCCACACCTACCTACTTGTTTTGCCTTAAGCATAACTGCAACTTAAACAGTCTACTTTCTAATGGAAACTGGTTGGTACTACAATAGTACACTTTAATTGTAGTGAAATACAGCATTTTCTACACTAACTTAAAATTTTCAAAGACACATAATTTAACGTAACACCAAACAGGTAAAAACTAATTTAGGAGAAACCTAAATTATTAAGACATAATGAATTCATAGATATAGGTGTAGATAATACAGCTATAACAATAGCTATGTATAACATATATGTAGCTGTAAGATATAGATAACATCATGAGCTACGTAGATATCAGTTGCATAGTGGAATGAGGAGAGCCAGCACACCCTGATTGAAATTCTGACTCTTTTACTTTCTAATATTTGACTTTAGGTAAATCATATCATTCCACCAAGCCTCAGTTTTCATGATTGTAAAGTGTAAATATAAATTCCTATCTGAAAGAGTTTAATTAAAAATATAGATAGATGTAAGAACATAGTTCAGTATCTATTATCTTTGTAACATTCAATATCTGACAAATAATATTATTACTGTAAATTTACCAGCCTTCCACTGAGCAAGGTGCCATCAACCTTAATGAAAGTAAGCGTATAAAATAAAATATTTGCAACATTTCCCTTTACCTGTCTCATAAACATACATAATCCCTGTCTCTCTTATATATATATATGCATATCCAGAATATATGAGGAACTAGGATTCAATAGAATAAAGACAATTGATCTCATAAAAATATTAAAAAATGAACATCAAATTTATCAAAGGAGAAATAATTCAAATGGCTAACAAGTATAAATGATTGGAAAAATGCAAATTAAAACAATGGAATATCTGAATGAGTGAAAATACCTAATGTTGACTCAGGCATAAAGAAATCAACTCTCACGTATACTTGAAACCCAATTTTTAAGTATCTATCAAAAGTTTGAAAGCACATTCTCTTTACTCAGCAATTCTGCTTCTAGATTTCTTATAGAGAAATACTTATACTCTAGGCAAGTACAAAGATGTTCACCATTCTTATTATCTATATGAAAAGGAAATATAGTAAATTCTATCAATAGAATAAAACTTTAATTTGTGTTTATTTTTAATTTTTTTTTAATACAAGGTCTCTCTCTGTCACCCGGTCTGGAGTAGAGTGACACAATGATGGCTTGGTGCAGTCTCAACCTCCTGGGCACAAGTGATCCTCTCATCTCAGCCTCCCAAGTAAGCTGGGATGACAGGTGCACACCACCATGCCAGGCTAATTTTCCCTCTCTCTATGTATATATATTTTTTGGTTGTGTGGGGGTCTCACTACCTGGCCTAAGCTGGTCTCTGACTCCAGGGCTCAAGGGACCGTCCCACTTGGGCCTCCCAAAGTGTTGGGATTACAGGCGTGAGCCACCATTCCCTGCTAATGCTTTAATAAATTATTGTCTGTAATGCAAGCTAGTATCCATGAGCTTGAAAGAGATGTAATAAAATCTATCTGCAAGTTTGCAATATATATAGTATGTATTATAGATAATTACATATAGTGTATAATATATAAAGTAATATATATATGATATATAAAAAGGAATTTCTCCAAGAGATAATTTAAACTGAAACAAAAGTACAAACCTATTATTCAAGAACATTTATGTAAAACCATACACAGATTCACACACACCCACACACAAAACCCTAAACTATATATTCTGTATTTCTGTAAATGCACTGTGAAAAAAAGCCCTGCAAAAATACACAAGAAAATAAATCTAACCCCTGTGAAGGAAGGTGAACTCCGTAGTGACAGAGGGTAAAGAGGGCATTTCATTTTTACTGTAACCATCTTTTTCATGTTAAAGAAGAATATTAAGTCATATTTCATAATTTTTTAAGCATAGATTGTGGATATTTCTGGAGTTTTGCTGTAATTTTGAGAGGAAACAGAGTGTAAGTTGGGCATTCTAAAAATTAGACTGAACTCACACATAAATCATGAATCTCAAAACTTATTCACAAACTTAATATTTTTGTGGCCCATTTCCCATTTTTCTCTACTTTTCACCACCTTACCCCCTTTTTTTAGACACAGGGTCTCACTCTGTTCCCCAGGCTGGAGTGTAGTGGTAAGATAGATGGCTCACTGCAGCCTGACCCACTACAGCCTTAAACTCTTGGGCTCAAGTGATCCTCCTGCCTCAGCCTCCCAAGTAGCTGGTACTACAGGCATGTGCCACCATACCCAGCTAATTTTTAAATTTTTTTGTTGAGATGGGTATCTCACTATTTTGCTCAGGCTGGTCTTGTATTCCTGGCTGCAAGTGGTCCTCCTGTTTTGGCCTGCAAAGGCATTGAGATTACAGGCCTTGGCTACCATGCCGGGCCCCATTTTTTTCAAACAAATAAAACAATTTGGAATATGAAGACAAAATGCCAATTAAAGAGAAATATCAGTAATCACTTATTAGTATCTTTTATTATTATTGATATGAGATGCTACAAAATGGTAACAAGACATACCTTATTTTAGCGAATATATATTATAAAATATGTAATTTTTATGCTACATATATATTGCTCACATATATTATAAAACACACAACTTTACAATAACTTCCAAATTTTAGAATCTAATTTCAAATTTACTTAGCATTGTTGAATTGACAAATTCTTGTCTCTGGTCATTATTATGAAAGAGGAAGGTGTCACCTTCCTAATTATAAGTTATTGTGACAACAATCCTCTTTTTTACACATCTTGCATTTTTCTCATTTAGGATCAAAATTGATACCATCTCTGGTATCAAGTTTTTAATGGCTTCATTTTCTAGAAATTCCCTGAAGATGAACTTCATCATCTGTGTGGGAAGGAAAAATGTATTTGAAATTTCAATCAAAATTTGGACTATTTTCCCATAGGAAATGTTTAAGCTTTTTCATTTGATCCATTACAATCTACACTACTTGAAGGCAAAGATGAAGTCTTAGCCATCTTTGAATTTCACCTTTAGCATGGGGTCTGACACTTGATGTTAGGTGAATAAATGCCTTAGCAGATATTCAGTAAACATAATCTAAGGCTAAAAATCCTGGAATTTAGAGCCAAAAAATTGACGACAGAATCCTTGTCTTACTACTCAGAAATTATTTATTTATTTAACTTGTCTAACTTTACTTCCTGTCTGTTAACTAAACATAATCATACCAGATAGGGAGTTGGGAGAATTAAACATGGTGAATAAATGAAATGGTTTACATATTTAAGATAATATTCAGCTATGTATTTGATATTATTCTGGGCAAAGGCGGTATATAAGTTGCCTAAGTTAGAGAGTTCCTACCCTTACAGAGCTTCATTACTATGGAGGAAACGTGCATTACATAAATGATCATGTAAATAATTACAAAAAGAAGTTTAGGGAATCTAAATTTGTCAATGGATGTAGGAGATGTTTCCGTAATTATATAAAATTAAAGGCCAAAACATGACAGCCTATCGAGGAAATAGCAGGTGATATAGAAGAGAACAATACTTACTGAGGGTATAGCAACCTCAGAATTAAGTGAGAGGATGAGAAACTGAGGAACTTTTAAAAGTCCAGGGAAGCTGAAGGACTCCGGGAAAGGAAGGTAGGTTCATGGGATGGTAGGAGCTATATTGAGCATAAAATTATGTACAGGAAACTCTTGGTAGAGGATCAGGTGTATGGTAGATGCAAAATAAGTTATAAATAGGAAGAGGAGATGACAAAGATGGTGATCACGATAAAACAGTTTTCTGAGCAAACATTTTTAAAAAGAGTCATTCTGTATGATAAATTGTGGAATTACAGTTTACTAGCCTGTGGTTTATATGTTTGTCTAGCTACTAAACATTCTGATCTTCACCTTCAAAAAGTTTAAGTGAAGTCAAATTCTAATCATCACTATCATCATAAAAAGCAACTGATGGTATCAATGGCTGTGTTTAGGGCCATGGTGGCTAGTTAGTCATCGTGATGATTTTCTTGGCTATATGTTTAAGTTTAGCGAAAAAAGAAAAAAAAAGTATGTTTGTGTGTGTGTGTGAGAGAGAGAGAGAGTGAGAGACAGGCAGAAAGGGAGAATAAAGACCATTGAGGCCTTTCTGTCTTGATAAACTGATGAAAAGAAAATAAGTGCAAGTTTAACTAATTCCAAGAAATGTTTACTAAACACACCAATTTGCAATTTGAAAGTTAGTCTGTGCCAAACTTTTGGGCAATGACTAAACAAAGCTGTATTATAAGGCTACCTTTCTTAATCAGATAATTATTTTCAAAATAACGTATCTTCTGGGTAAAGAGAAAGGTAAACTAAAATTCCTGTTTGCAAATATATTCTCAATTATCCACATATGAAATATGTGTGTTAAATGCTTACTCCATGTGTTACATCTGGAAAGCATTGGATCATATCACTTTCTCATTGTTTGGCCATCATCAGGAACTAAATTCCATTTTACATAAAATACTAGAAAATCAAATCAACTTTTACAAAATATTTTATTTAAAAGCATATAAGTGCTCAAAATGTCACACTATTATTAATTATTATTATTGGCCATTTTGAAATCTACATTAAGTTAAATAGCTTTAAGAATTTCGATTCCAGTGTTATCTACACATAGACAATAGTAAGACAGAGCAAGTAGGTTTCAACATCAGCATAGCAAGTGCTTCACTACTATTAAGTTCAAATTTAATAGAACTGTGCAAGATAAAATGTCTAAGCTACCACCTTATTAACTGAAGTCCCAGATACCTCTCCCTGAGAGATTATAGATCTGTTACCGTAGAGCTGTAGTCACCTGTATATTCAGCAAATGGGAATCAGGATGTTAAATAGCTGCCCAAACACTCAAGCCACAGGCTAATAGATCACAACTTTACAGCATATATTCCCAAGCTTTCTCAGAAAACTGTGCTTTGCTTTGATCATATGCTTTTTCAAGTTGCAACGTATCCAGGGGGGAAAAAGTTGAGTTACATGTTCACTACCCAGTCCTGCATAATAAGAAAAATGTTAATTATCTAACAGCGTGTTCACATTTTCTACTAGTTGGCAAGTATAGGATTTTGGCTGCTATCACTTCTCCAATAGGTATTGGAGTTTTACACATTTGTTATCAGCACAGAATTTGCCTTGTCTAGTTGTACTGCCTACATATTCCACTGTTCCAGGAGTCATTTAAGCATATAATAAATTGAGTTTCAATGAGCTGGAACCTCCCGCTTCAGCCGATTTTTCAGCAAATTATTTTCCAGCTGTAGCTTCAGCAGGAATTTTTCTCACTCCTGAAAACATGGCTGTAATGGCGACATCTTTTATATGCCAATTCTAAAATGATTTTAATCGGATGCTTATTATGCATTAGGTTAGCGATGAGCAAATTTTAAAAGGGTTCAAATCACTCTATGGATACGGCAAATATCTTTAATAGACTTCGTGTTTTGGCACAAATGTCTGATGTGACAAAAACAAGGCCAATATATTTGGGACTTCGCCATAGAGCAAGGTAAAATGCTGCTTCACCATTTATAGTGTGCTTTCCTGCATATTGATGTTCCAACAAACATCACTGAAGTATGAAGCAGGTATTGATATTTGAGGATCAGAGGACCCCAAACTTTGAATTTAGTTTAATCACTGGCATCTGTTCCCATTTAAACTTGAGTTCTCTCTTGAAGCAAATAGATATGAAGGGTATTCAAAAGAAACACACTGAGATGATAATTGTAAATGACTGGTTTACCCCATTTAGGATTCTATATATACTTGGCAATAGCCTAATATGGTATGTGTGTCCTAATAGATATAGATAGATAGACAGATAGAGATATGCAGACATAGACATGAATATGTATGTGTATATGTATAAATAACATAAATATATGTATAAATAACAAATATATGTATAATCACATAAATATATGTGATTATACATATATACATATATTTATATAACACTAATTATGTGTAGAAAGATGCCCAGCACTTTACTGCTTTTTTGTCTGCGGTTGTTCTCACCATGTTATACATTTCTTTTGATATTATACCTTCTTTTATTTGAGAAACTTTTCCCACTTCAATGTAGACGCATAAGGAAGAGCAGAGAGCAATGGGAAACACATGCAGAAATAAAGCAGAGGTTTGCTTTAAAAAGCTTATGATATTGCCATCATATAGGTGATCTGTCATTGTATAAAATATCATCAGGCAGCACATGACTGTATTTAAGGTGTACAACTTGATGTTTTAACATATGTATACATTATGACATGATCATCACATTAAGCTAATTAACTTACCCAATACTTCACATAGTTACGTGTGTGTGTGTGTGTGTGTGTGTGTGTGTATGTGTTAAGAACACTTAAGTGTGAAACCCTGTTTCTACTAAAATACAAAAAATTAGCTGGGCGTGGTGGCGCACGCCTGTAGTCCCAGCTACGCGGGACGCTGAGGCAAGGGAATCACTTGAACCTGGGAGGTGGAGGTTACAGTGAGCCAAGATCGTGCCACTGCACTCCAGCCTGGCAACAGAGCAAGACTCCGTCTCAGAAAAAAAAAAAAAAAAAAAAAAAAGAGCACTTATAATCTACTCATTTTCAAGTATTTCATGTGTGGCTAACAATAGTCACCATGCTGTACATTAGATCCCCAGAACTTACCCATCTTGCGTGACTAAAACTTTGTATCCCTTGACCAACATCTCCCCCTTTCCTCCTCCTCCAGTCCCTGGCAACGATTATTCTACTCTCTGATTCTGTAAGTTTGGCTATTTTAAATTCATATATAAAGGATGCTGTATTTGCCTTTTTGTGTGTGGCTTATTTAATTTAGCATGATGTCCTCCAGTTTTGTCCATGTTGTCTCAAATGGCAGGATGTCCTTTTCTAAGATTGAAAAATATTGCATTGTGTATATAAACATTTTCTTCATTCATTCATCCACTGAGAGGCATTTAGTTTGTTTCTGTATCTTGGCTTTGGTGAATAATACTGCAATGAACATGGGACTGCGGATATCAGATAGGTCTTGGAGAATTCTCACTTCATTTCCTTTGGATAGATGCCCAGATACAGGAATGCTAAATCATATGGTTGTTCTATTTTCAATTTTTTGAGGAACCTTCATACTGTTTTTGATAATGTCTGTATCAGCTTATATTATCACCAACAGTGCACAAGGCTTCCCTTTTTTCTACATTCTTGCCAACCCCTGTTATCTTTTTTCTTTTTGATAGTAGCCATTCTAACAGGTATAAGGTAAAATCTCACGGTTATTGTGATTTGCATTTCCCCGATAACTAGTGGTGTTGAACTCCTTTTCATTTGCCTGTTGCACCTTTGTATGCCTTCTTTGATAAAATGTCTATTCAAGTCCTTTGCATATTTAAAAAAATCAGATTGTTATTTTACTATAGAGCTGCATGAGTTCCTTATATATTTTGGGTAGTAATCTCTTACCATATGTATAGGTTGAAAGTATTTTCTCCTATATTTCCAATATTATCTAATATTTTCTTAACTGTTGATTGTCTCAAGTTCTTTTCTAGCTTTAAAATATCTGTCCCCCTGGTTCTTTCTTTTGGAAAAGGAGTTACTGTGTTGATGATTATCTTGTTAAAGTTTCCACAGATAGCAAATTGTATAGACAGAGTTTAAATACAGCTTTTGTTGGTGGTGTTATTGTTTAGCCACCAAAGCTCATGCTCCTAACCACCATGCAACATTATCTTCCATGGCAATGTTCTTTGCTTTGGAGGACAGCATAGCCTAGTCTGCTAGGAGAATGACATGGAAAGAATTTCCATAAAAAGTAAGATTTAACAAATCGCCTAACATAATTATTCTTGCATTTCATCTTTTTTGAAGTATTCTTCTGAATAGCATTCATTTATGCATTGTATTCTGTCATTCTTCAGACTATCTCCTATGTCTTTTTGTTTGCTTGTTCTGTATTGCTCTGTTTTATATGTTTGTTTGTTTTTTCTGTGTGGAGTGTCATGTGGACTAGCTACATCTGTGGGCCCCATATACTATATTTTGATTCTACATGGAATTCATTCTTTTTATTTTGTCTTTGCAAAGTGACTATTAATGACATGGCCAAAGTACTTTTTTTTTAATTTAACCTATTCAATTCCATTTCATTCTAAAACTAGTAACTCTAATTCAGTTGATAAATATAGCAAATGATTATAATATCAACCTTTGGCTCCTGTTTTATTAACTACTTAATAGCCCACTTTCTTCCCTACATGGGAATTTGCCATGTTGTTCTTAGGGCTCTTTTGCCTCTAGCACTTAGCACAGGACTTCATAAATGGTAAATTATGACAAAATTAAGGGATGAATTTACTTTTCCTCCCAATGTTTTGTTCCAGGAACTTCTATCCATTTCTCAATTTCACGAAATTGGGAAGATGAATTGAGTGTATTTATAGTCACTGAGTAAGATAGGTAGAGATGGATTTATACTCTATTTTTGCAGTGAATAAACTACTACTTGTAAAAGTCTGTAAAGACTTGTTTAAAACCAGAAGTTAAACTGAAATTCTATTTTACTTTGCATGAAGAAATCCAGTCACTCGGTCCCCCTAAAATTAGACTAATATCTCAAAAACATAAATTCATTAATTAAATACTTAAAACTTTTTGATGACGCTTTCTTGCACTTAATACACCATTCAAACTCCACAGGCTCACAAATTTGCGCCTGATCTGGGGACTATATAACTATGTGAACTGACTGAGATCTGGAGTTCCACTGTTTTTCATCCTCACTCTTTACTTCTCCAGACACATTAGACTTCTCAACACATTTTCCAATTCCCAATTATACAAAGCTTAAATCCATGTATCTCCTAGCACTAGCTCTCCCATGTACCTGGAGTGCTCTTTTCCAAGTCATTTAGTGGAAAGTCTTCTAGCACTTTTTATTATACTCATATGTGAGTACAATGAAAAAAACATATATATCATAGCCTAAATATCACCCCCTCAGCGATGCTATCTCTGATCACCCGAAATAGCTACGAAGACTTTAACTATCTTATGAACCTATGTTAAATTTCTCTGTAGAATGTGTAATGATCTTTGTGAAATATTTAATGACTTTTCTCTTCCCAAATTGTGGAGAGAAGTGATCAAAAGCACAGATTGTGGTGTCAGGCTGCTATGGTTTGAATTCAGACACCAACGCTTTCTTGATTTTTTGTTTGTTTGTTTGTTTTTGTTTATTTTTGAGACAGAGTCTCATTCTATCTCCCAGGCTAGAATGCAGTGGTGCGATCTCTGCTCACTGCAACCTCCGCCTCCCGGGTTCAAGCAACTCTCCTGCCTCAGCCACCCAACACCAACACTTTCTAAATGTGTTACTTTGGGCAAGTCCATTCGCTTTTCTAACACTCAGACTCCTCCTCTATTAAAAAAAAAATGAGTATAATAGGCCAGCCTCTGTGGCTCATGCCTGTAATCTCAGCACTTTGGGAGGCCAAAGAGGGCAGATCATCAGGTCAGGAGTTCAAGACCAATCTGACCAACATGGTGAAACCCCATCTCTACTAAAAATACAAAAATTAGCTGGGCATGGTGGCATGCACCTGTAATACCAACTACTCAGGAGGCTGAGGCAGGAGAATTGCTTGAACCTGGGAGGTGGAGGTTGCAGTGAGCCGAGATTGCGCCACTGCACGCCAGCCTGATAGTCAGAGCAAGACTCCGTCTCAAAAAAAAAAAAAAAAAAAAAAGATAATAAAAGCATCTATCTCATAAGGTTGTTGTGAGGCTAGGATGAGATAATGAGTAAGTCTCAGTAATATTACTCATTTTTATTCACCACTATATATCCAAGACCTAGTTACAGGGCCTAGAGCCTTATAACTTAAGAAATATTTACTGAATGAATACAATAATTTATAATTATAAATATTATTTTAAAAGAAAACCTTTCTGCCTGTTTCCTGTCACAATTTCTTCCATCCACTTGGCAATTTTTCTTCATCACTTTTCTCCCCTCCTTCCCTTAGCACTTTATCTACACTTAGCTGGCTCATAATTTTTTGCATATAAACACACTCATAATTCTCACATCTTAAAAGTCACTTTACATACCTTTTTTCCTCTTTTTTATGACCTTGAAAAAAATAGCCAACTGTCTACATTTATTCCCGAACCATTACATTATGGCTTCTATCTTATTACTTTTATGGGATTACTGCTGACAAAGTCACCAGTAAATTTGTTTGTTCTTTAGTCCACTAGACAATTTCTACTTTTTATCCTAGTTACTTATCAGTTGCAGTTTACTCTTCAGATCGAACAGAGACACTGAAGTCAGAGAGATCTGAATTAAATTGTGCTATATACATTAAGAAATTTTGAAGCCTTTGGCAAGTCACTTAATTCTGAGCTTCAATTTTCTCACATGGAAAATGAAGATGGAACTAATCTACCTTGAAGTCTTCTTCATTCAATTATGTACTCAACATATATTTATTAAAAGTCTATTCTGTGTCTGGACATGTTGTAAACACTGGAGGCATAGCAGTAAACAAAACAGACAAAAATTATTATTCACATGGATTTTACAATACGTGGTTATTAATCAAAACAAATAAACATATTTGGTAACATGTTAGCATTGATAAAAAGTGAAAGCAAGGGTGGAAGTGCAGAATGATAGAAGGATGGGGAGACTTGCTATTTTAGATAAGGGGTTGCAGTTTTCAATAGGATGTGTTTTTCGAGAAGATGACTTTTTTTTTGGTGGGGGACGGAGTTTTGCTCTTGTTGCCCAGGCTAGAGTGTAGTGTCATGATCTCGGCTCACTGCAACCTCCGCTTCCCAGGTTCAAGCAATTCTCCCGCCTCAGCCTCCCAAGCAGCTGGGATTACAGCCACCAGCCACTGCTCCCAGCTCCCAGCTAATTTTTGTATTTTTAGAAGAGATGGGGTTTCACCATGTTGGCAAGGCTGGTCTCAAACTCATGACCTCAAGTGTTCCACCCAGCTCGGCCTCTCAAAGTGCTAGTATTACAAGCATGAGCCACTGTGCCTGGCCAGAGAAGATGACTGACTTTTCACTGGAGATCTGAAGAAGGCATGACTATTGGAGGAGAGTAGTGGTGAGGTTGGGAGACATTCTGGGCAAAGAGAACAGCAAGTATAGAGGTGCTCATATGGACGCAAGAGAAGATGTTCAAGAAACTACAAAAGCAATGTGGTTGGAGTGACACAAAATACAAACATAATACAAGATATAAAAATAGTAGCTTAAATCAGGGTTATAGCACCTAAAGTGGTAAGAATGATCAGATTTTTGATATATTTTATGGTAAAGTCAATGAGATTTCCTGATAGGTTAAAAATGTTATGAGGAAGAGAAGTCAAGGACAACTCAACTTTGGCTTGGGTAACTGGTGGAACACATTTACAATTTATTATAATGGGGACAATTTCTGGAGAAACTAATTTAGAAAGGAGATCAAGAACTCAGTATTTTTGATGTTATGTTTAATATGCCTTTACACATGTAAGAGTAGACATTGAATATGTGAATTTGGTGTTCAAGGAGGATATGATAAGGTTAAAAATAAAAATGTGTGCGCTTTTAGCATACAAATAGTATTTAAAGTTATGACACTAGGTAAGAATATGAAGAAAAAGAATGAAACTAAAAAAAAGTAAAGCAATCCAAGGACTAATCCCTGGGAGACTCCACTGGTTAAAGAATGAGGAGATAAGAAAGCTGAAAAATAGACTGAAAAGGAGCAGTCATAAGAGTCAGAAGAAAAGCCAGGAGATAGATAGATAGATATACACATACATACATATATTTTAATGCCAATTTCAGAAAGTGTTTTAAGTGTTTTAAGAAAGATGGAGCATTTAACTGTGCCACTGCTACACACTGCCCAAATGACTAAGAAAATATCACTGAATTTAGAAATGAATTTAGATTCATTAGTGATATTGTTTGGCTGTGTCCCAACCCAAATCTCATCTTGAATTCCCATGTGTTGTGGGAGGGACCCAGTGGGAGGTAATTGAATCATGGGGGCAGGTCTTTTCTGTGCTGTTCTCATGACAGTGAATAAGTCACAGGAGATCTGATGGTTTTAAAACGGGGAGTTTCCCCGCACAAGCTCTCTTCTCTTGTCCGCCACCATGTGAGATGTGCCTTTCACCTTCTGCCATGATTGTGACGCCTACCCAGCCATGTGGAACTGTAAGTCTAATTAAAGTTCTTTCTTTTGTAAATTGCCCAGTCTTGGGTATGTCTTTATCAGCAATGTGAAAATGAACTAATACAGTAAACTGGTAGTGGGAGAGTGGGGCACTGCTGAAAAGATACCTGAAAATGTGGAAGTGACTTTGGAACTGGGTAACAGGCAGAGGTTAGAACAGTTTGGAGGGCTCAGAAGAAGACGGGAAAGTGAGGGAAAGTTTGGAACTCCCTAGAGACTTGTCAAATGGCTTAGACCAAAATGCTTATAATGATGTGGACAATGAAATCCAGGCTGAGGTGGTCTCAGATGGAGATGAGTAACTTGTCGGGAACTGGAGCAAAGGTGACTCTTGTTATATTTTAGCAAAGAAAGAGACTGGTGTCATTTTGCCCCTGCCCTAGAGATTTGTGGAACTTTGAACTTGAGAGAGATGATTGAGGGTATCTAGCAGAAGAAATTTCTAAGCAGCAAAGGATTTAAGAGGTGACTTGGGTACTGTTAAAGGCACTCAATTTTTTTTTTTCTTTTTTTTGAGACGGAGTTTCGCTCCTGGTGCAATGGCATGACCCCTGCTCACTGCAACCTCCACCTCTCAGATTCAAGTGATTCTCCTGCCTCAACCTCCCAAGTAGCTCAGAATACAGGTGCACGGCACCACACCCAGCTAATTTTTATATTTTTAGTAGAGGTGGAGTTTCACCATGTTGGGCAGGCTTGTCTCGAACTCTTGACCTCAGGTGATCCACCTGCCTTGGCCTCCCAAAGTGCTGGGATTACAGCCGTGAGCCACAGCACCCTGGCCAAAGGCACTCAGTTTTATAAAGGAAGCAGAACATAAAAGTTTGGAAAATTTACAGCCTGACAATGTGATAGAAGAGAAAATCCCATTTTCTTTTGTCTTTTCTTTTTCTTTCTTTCTTTTTTTTTTTTTTGAGATGGAGTCTCATTCTGTCACCAAGCTAGAGTGCAGTGGTGTGATCTTGGCTTACTGCAACATCCACCTCCCGGGTTCAAGCAATTCTCCTGTTTCAGTCTCCTGAGTAGCTGGGACTACAGGTGCGCGCCACCACACCCAGCTAATTTTTGTATTTTTAGTAGAGATGGAGTTTCACCATATTTGCCAGGATGGTCTCGATCTCTTGACCTCGTGATCCGCCCACCTCAGCCTCCCAAAGTGCTGGGATTACAAGCGTGAGCCACCCGGCCAAAAATCGCATTTTCTGAGGAGAAATTCAAACTGACTGCAGAAATTTGCATAAGTAATGAGGAGCCAAACGTTAATATCCAAGACAATAGGGAAAATGTCTCCAGGAAATGTCATAGGTCTTCATGGCAGTCCCTCCCATCACAGGCCTGGAGGCCTAGGAAGAAAAAGTGGTTTTGTGGGCTGGGCCCAGGGTCCCTGTGCTGTGTGCAGCCTAGGAACCTAGTGCCC
Organism: Homo sapiens; assembly: GCF_000001405.40. Classification (NCBI taxonomy): domain Eukaryota; kingdom Metazoa; phylum Chordata; class Mammalia; order Primates; family Hominidae; genus Homo; species Homo sapiens. The sequence continues at coordinate 165,442,333 of NC_000005.10, read as the reverse complement.
TGCGTCCCAGCTGTTCTAGCCATGGCTAAAGGGGCCGAGGTACAGCTTGGGCTGTTGCTTCAGAGGGTGGAAGCCCCAAGCCTTGACAGCTTCCATGTAGTGCTGAGCCTGTGGGTGCACAGAAGTCAAAAACAGAGGTTTGGGAACCTCAGCCTAGATTTCAGAGGATGTATGGAAACACCTGGGTGCCCAGGCAGAAGTTTGCTGCAGGGATGGTGCCCTCATGGAGAACCTGTGCTAGGGCAATGTGGAAGGGAAATGGGGGCTGGAGCCCCCACACAGAGTCCCTACTGGGGCACTGTCTAGTGGAGCTGTGAGAAGAGGGCCAATGTCCTCCAGACCCCAGAATGGTAGATCCACTGACAGCTTGCACTGTGTACCTGGAAAAGCCACAGACACTCAATGTTAGCCAGTGAAAGCAGCCAGGAGGGGGATATACCCTGCAAAGCCACAGAGGTGGAACTGCCCAAGGCTGCAGGAGTCCACCTCTTGCATCAGTGTGACCTGGATGTGAGACATGGAGTCAAAGGAGATCATTTTGGAGCTTTAAGATTTGACTGCTCTGCTGGATTTTGGACTTGCATGGGGCCTTTAGCCCCTTTGTTTTGGCCAGTTTCTCCCATTTGGAATGGCTGTATTTACCCAATTTCTGTACCCCCATTGTATCTAGGCAGTAACTAACTTACTTTTTATTTTACAGGCGCGGAGGCCGAAGGGACTTGCCTTGTCTCAGATAAGACTTGGGACTGTGGACTTTTGAGTTAATGCTGAAATGAGTTAAGACTTGGGGGGCTGTTGGGAAGGCATCATTGGTTTTGAAATATGAGGACATGAGATTTGGGAGGGGACAGGGGTGGAATTATATGATTTGGCTGTGTCCCCACCCTAATCTCATCTTGAATGCCCAGGTGTTGTTGGAGGGACAGAATGTGAGGTAACTGAACCATGGGAGCAGGCCTTTCCTGTGCTGTTCTCGTGTTAGTGAATAAGTCTCACAATCTGATGGTTTTAAAAGGGCAAATTTCCCTGCACAGGCTCTCTTCTCTCGTCTGCCATCATGTGAGGCATGCCTTTCACCTTCCACCATGATTGTTAGGCCTCTCCAGGCCAATAAACTCACCAGTCCAATAAACATTTTTCTTTTGTAAATTGCCCTGTCTTGTGTATGTCTTTATCAGCAGTGTGAAAATGGGCTAGTACAATTAGTGACCTCAATAAATGCAGTTTGTTTTGAGTGGTGAAAGGAAAAGCTGGAATGATTTGTATTCAAGACAGAAATGGTTTCAAGTTAAGAATGAAGATTGAAAAAATTTATGTAAATGTTTTTCCTCCCAAACACCCTAAAACTACAATGGCATTCTTGCGTGTTTGTTTGCTATTTAAACATAAACCCATGAAGTGGGAAGAGCAGAAGAAAAGAAACCAGCAACAACATTGTGGAAGCTGGAAATTTGATGGATGAGCGGAAAGCGATTTACCAAACCTGGGACAGAAAAATTGTAAACTGGCAGTGAAAAGTTTAGAAACTAACTTGATTTGCACCTCAAATTTGTGATATACGTATATAAAATGCTTAACTCATAGAATCTCAACACTTTTTCCAGAATACAAACTCTCAAAGTATCAATACTTGAAGTTTTACTTTCTAGTAGAAGTTTAAAAAGTTTTCTCTGGGGAACCTGACTAATCAAAGAAGATATACCAAAAAATACTTATGTAAGGAATTCCCCCAAAATGACCTGCCCAGTAAAGTACACTTTGAAGCCCAAAGTAAATAAATACTACTTAAGTTTTCATAGTTTCATATTATATCTTAACTTTCTTAATCATGAGAAGACAGCCAATATTACCAAATATCCAAAGAAAGCCTCTAATATGGAAGATAGAGACCAATAAAAAGTAATCAATACAATGAAAAATGTATGAAATAGAAACTATTCAGAAAAAAATCCTCATTACCATCAATTTAATAGGAGCTTATAACTGCCTCATAGCAAATTCTAATGTGAGAGTTACATCAGTTAGATGGCAGAATAAGGGGTCATCAGCCTTAGTCTACCACATAGAAATACTGATTAACAACTATCCACAGACAAGAACACTTAAGTGAATATTCCAGAATGTGAGGTGAGGCTAAAGCACCCCCTGCAACAAAACAACATGGAAAAAGTTGAATTAAAAAGGTAAAAGGAATGGTTTCATTTTGACCCTATTTACCCCTCCCCTGGGCTGGCACAGTGCCACAATGAGAGGAATGCCCTGGACCAATGGAGAGGCCAAGGTGGGTATCTAGCTTCCCCAGCATTTCGAGGTACTTCCTGGGAGACACATTTCTGTGTTTGTCTTATGAGAATCACTGGGGGAACTGACAAGTCTGGAACACCTGGGGTCAGTTAGGAACAAAGAAGTAGCGTGTGAATCTTGGCAGTGGCACTGTATACCTGCTGGTGGTTGCACCCAACCAGAGGGGCCAACCAGCAGCTCTGCACATCTGCAAGCCAAGTTGATGGCTTTGCCCAATCATGAGCAGAATCAGTGATCTTGTCAAACCATGAAGCACAGCCTATAGCAGAGCCCAGCAATGACCCTATCCAACTGTGGATTATGGTCTGGTCCCTGTATGATTTCAAAGTCCAGCTTGTGGCCCTGTATGAATGCAGAGTCCAATTAATGGCACCTCAAAACAAGGATTACAGTCTGTGGCCTCATCTGATCAGGGGCAATTGTGGAGCCTGCAGCCCCAATTAATTACAGAGTCCAGCTAGTGGCACTGCCTGGCCTGGGAGAACAGCTGTGACCCTATCCGACCAGAGGTTATTATGGAGTTCATGCAGCAGCCCCACCTGAACAAAGAGTCCAGACAGTAGATCCGACCCACCACAAAGCTTAGCCAGCAGCTCCACCTGATCTCAGAGTTAAGCAATAATCTTATCTACAGAGACCATGACAGCAAACCCTGTATGGTTGCAGCTGCCACCATGTGTCCCATCACAAACCCCAGGCTGGACTGACTGAAAAGAAGACTTTTTTTTTCTGCCAAAGTAAACCTCTAAAGATTAAAAGGGGTGACTATTTCCTAAAAGGCTCAGATACCAATGCAAGGACACAGGATGATAAACAATCAGGGAGGCTGGGCATAGTGGCCCATGCCTATAATCCCAGCACTTTGGGAGGCCAAGGTGGGTGGATCACTTGTGCTCAAGAGTTTAAGACCAGCCTGGGCAACATGGCAAAATCCCATCTCTACTAAAAATACAAAAAAAAAAAAAAAAGTTAGGTGTGTGGTGGTGCATGCCTATAATTCCAGCTACTTGGAAGGCTGAGTCAGGAGAATTGCTTGAACCTGGGACTGAGAGGCAGAGTTTGCCATGAGCTGAGATAGCGTTACTGCACTCCAGCCTGGGTGATAGAGAAACTCTGTCAAAAAAAAAAAACAAACAGAAACATAACCACTACCACCAGGACGTGTGCGCACGCACACACACACACACACACACACACAGACAAAAAAATAAAATAAACCTACTAAACCTCCAATAACTGACTCTAAAAGAAATGGAGCTCTATGAACTGACTGACAAATAATTCAAAACAATTCTCTTAAAAAAAGTTCAGTGAACTACCAAAAAAAAAAAAAAAACACACAGATAGAAAACTAAATTAAAATAGCAAAACAACACATGAACAAAATGAGAAGACTGAGAGAAAAGGGAATAATATTTTTTTGTTTGTGTTTGTTTTGTTTTGTTTTGTTTAGAGACAGAGTCTTGCTCTCTCACCCAGGCTGGAGTACAGTGGGGCGATCTCAGCTCACTGCAATTTTTACCTCCTGGGTTTAACCAATTCTTGTGTCTCAGCCTCCCAAGTAGCTGGGACTACAGGTACATGCCACCACACCCAGCTATTTCTTATATTTTTAGTAGAAGAAGTAATGGCTGGAAAATTCTCAAATGGGAGAAGACAAATGGACATCCAGATTCACAAAGCTCAAAGATTCCCAAATACATAGAACCCAAAGAGATCTACATCAAGACACATTAGAAATTGTCAAGAATTAAAGACAGTTTTGAAAACAAATAAATAAAAACAGACTTATCACATAAGTCGGACCTTATAAGACTATAAGCAGATTTCTCAGCAAAAACTTGGCAAGTTCTAAGAGAGTAAGGTAATATATTCAAAATATTGAAAGAAAAACAAAAAAACCTGTCAGCCAAGAATACTATATCCAGCAAAGCAATTTTTCAGAAGGGAAGAAGAGATAAAGACTTTCTCAAACAAACAAAAGCTAAGAGAGTTAATGGCTATGATATCTGCCTTACAAGAAATGCTAAAGAAAGTTCTTTTTTTTTTTTTCTTTTTTTTTCTTTTTTTTTTTTGAGACAAAGTCTTGCTCTGTAGCCCAGGCTGGAGTGCAGTGGCATGATCTCGGCTCACTGCAAGCTCTGCCGACCGGGTTCACACCATTCTCCTACCTCAGCCTCTGGAGTAGCTGGGACTACAGGCACCCACGAACACGCCCAGCTAATTTTTTTGTATTTTAGTAGAGACGAGGTTTACACCGTGTTAGCCAGGATGGTCTCGATCTCCTGATCTCGTGATCCACTTGTCTCGGCCTCCCAAAGTGCTGGGAGTACAGGCATGAGCCATCGCGCCTTGCCTAAAGAAAGTTCTTGAAGCTGAAATGTAGGGTGCTAATTCACATTATAAAAACATATGAATGTATACAATTCACTGGCAAATGTAAATATATAGTCAAACTCAAAATTCTCTAATATTGCAATAGTGGTCCTTACATTACTTTCAATTTTTATGTAAAAGTTCAAAACCAAGCATATTACAAATGAGTATAATCAGAATAATTTGTTAATGAATATACAAAACAAAAAAGAGGTTGACATTAATGACCTAAAATGTTATGAGGTAGAATTAAATGTATAGATATTTTGGTGTGTGATCAAAGTTAATTTATCCTTAAAATAGAATATTATAACTATAAGATAGCTTATGTAAGCCTCAGGATAATCATGCACACACAAAAAAAACTGTAGTAAGTACACAAATAATTAAGAGAAAGAATCAAAGCATACAGACACAAAAGGTCATCAAATCACAAAGGCACAGCAAGAAATGACAAAAGGAACTACAAAATGGTCACAATACAATAAAAAATGGTAATAGTAAGTACTTACATATTAATAATTAATTTAAGTGTAAACAAATTGTTATCCAACCAAAATGAATAAATTGAAAAACAAAAACCAAACATAATGCAACTATATACTTCTCTTTCTTTGCTTTAAATTGGCTAAAAATGAAAGGCTGAAAAAACATATTCTGCACAAATGGTAACAGAAACACATTCGTGGAGGCTTTTTTTGTATCAATAGGCTTTAAGTCAAAAACTGTCACAAGAGACAAGGAAATTCATATAATGTAAAAAGAGTTCATTTATCAAGAAGATACGACAATCGCAAATATTTATGCAACCAACATTATATATAGCACCTAAATGTACAAAGCAATATTTACAGAATTGAAAGGAGAAATAAAAAGCAATACAATAATATTAGAAGACATTAATACCCACACTGTCAACAATGTATTTACTAACCAGACAGAGATCAATTAGGAAACAGTGGACTTGAACAACACTGCAGACCAAGTGGACCTAGCGTATATATATATATACAGAGCATTTCATCCAACAACTGCAGAATAAACATTCTTCTCAATCACACATGGAATTTCTCTGGGATGGAGCAGATGTTAGGCCACAAAACAAGTCTTAACAAATTCAAGGTTTAAATCATATCAAGTATCTTTTCACAATGGTATGAAAATATAAATCAGTAACAGGAAAATTGGAAAATTCACAAATATGTGCAAATTAAGTGACATACTCCTGAAGAAGAAATGGATCAAAGAAGAAATTAAAAGAGAAATCAAAAAATACCTTGAGACAAATGACAACGGAAATAGAACATACCAAAACTTGTGGGATAAAGCAAAAGCAGATTGAAGTGGAAAGTTTATTGAGAAAAACGCCTACATGAAGAAAAATAATCTCAAATAAGCAACCTAATTTTATACTTCAAGGAAATAAAAAAAGAATAGACAAAACCTAAAGTTATTAGAAAGAAGTAAATAAAGATCAGAGCAGAAATAAATGAAATTGAGACTGAAATAACAACAGAAAAAAATTCAGTGAAACTACAAGTTGGTTTTACTGTTTAAAAGCTAAGTTTATTTACTAAGATAAAAAAAATGGACAAAACTTAGACTAATGAAGAAGGAGAAAATAAGTAAATAAAATCAGAATTGAAAGAGAAGATATTATAACTGTTACTACAGAAATACAAAGGATCATGACAGTATAATGAAAAATTAAATGTTGGCTGGGCACAGTGGCTCACACCTGTAATCCCAGCACTTTGGGAGGCCAAGGAAGGCAGATCATGAGGTCAGGAGTTTGAGACCAGCCTGGCCAATATGGTGAAACCTGTCTCTACTAAAAATACAAAAATTAGCTGGATGTGGTGGCCTGTACCTGTAGTCCCAGCTGCTTGGGAGGCTGAGGCAGGAGAATCACTTGAACCCAGGAGGCAGAGGTTACAGTGAGCTGCGATTGCGCCACAGCACTCCAGCCTAGGTGACAGAGTGAGACTTCATCTCAAAAAAAAAGAAAAGAAAAGTTATATGTCAACAAAGTGAATAACCTAAAAAAATGAATAAATTTTTAGAAACATAAAACCTTCCCAGACTGGATCATGAAGAAATGAAAATCTAAACAGACCTATATTGAATAAGGAGAGAAATCAGTAAACAAATTGTCTTCCTTCAAATAAAAGCCCAAAACCTGATGCTTTCACTGGTGAATTCTACTGGACATTTAAAGAAGAATTAACGCCTATTCTACTCAAATTCTTCCAAAAAGTTGAAGAACAGGAGCTACATTTAAGACCTGAAACTACAAAACTCGTAAAAGAAAACATAGGGAAAAAGCTCCTTAACATTGGTCAGTGCATTTTGGATATGACAACAAAATCACAGACAAAAAATGCAAAAGTAGACAAAAGGGACTATATTGAGCTTAAATGTTTCTACACGGTAAAGGAAACAACAGAGTGAAAAGAAAATCTATGGAGCAGGAGAAAACATTTTCAAACCATATATCTGATAAGAAGTTAATATGCGAAATATATAAGTAACTCATATGATTCAATAGCATCCCCCACAAAAAAAAAAATCTGATTAAAAAATGGGCTAAAGGACTTCGATAGATTTTTTTTTCCCAAAGAAGACATACAAATAGCCAACAGGAATATGAAAAGGTTCACAACATCACTTATCATCAGGGAAACAGAAATCAAAACCACAGTAATATCACACCTGTTAGAATTGCTGTTCAAAGACACGAGATAACATGTTTTAACAAGGATGTCGAGAAAAAAGGATCCATTATGCGCTATTGGTGGGAATGTAAATTGGTACATTTGCTATGGAAAATGGTATGAAAATTTCTCAAAAATTTTAAAATAGAACTACAATATGATCCAGCAAATTACTCCTATGGATATACAACTGAAAGAAACAAAATCAATATCTTGAAGAGGTATAAGAGATATCTACACTCTCACATCCATGGCAGCATTGTTCACAATAGCCAAGACATGGAAACAATCTAAGTGTCTGGTGATGGATAGATAGATAAAGGAAATATTACAAGAAAGAGAGAGAGAAAGAGAGAGAGAGAATGAACTGTTTTTTAGCCATAAAGAAGCAGGAAATCTTGCTATTTGTGACAACATGGATGAAACTGGAGGGCATTTTTCTTGGTGAAATAAGCCAAACACAGAAAGACATGATCTCATTCACATGTGGGCAACATATTTGGAATGTAAAAATGTCTAACTCATAAAAACATAGAGTAGAATGGTGGTTTTTAGGAGCTAGAGGGTGGGTGAAAAGATACTGGTCAAAGAACACAACTTTCAGTTATAGATGAATAAGTTCTGCAGATCAAATGTACAGCATAGTGGCTGTAGTTAATAATATTGCATCATATAGTTGAGATTTGCTGAGAGTAGATCTTTAGTGTTCTTAGAACACACACACAGGCACATAAGGTAACTGTGCATTGGTGGATATGTTAACTAACTTGATTGTGGTAATCATTTTATAATGTATATGTATATGGATTCCTCTCATTGTTGTTCTTTAATATATGCAATATTATCTGTCAATTATACCTATAAAAACCTGGAATAAAATAGAATATAATTTTTAAGAATTACTTAAAAATAAAAATGGCCTTTGGTAATTTAAAACATAAAGGCAAAATAGGAAAAAAATAAATCAGTAGAAGGACTGAAAGATAAGGTTAAGAAAATAAAATAACACGAAAGTAGATCAAAAGGACAAAATAATGGAAGAGAGAAAGAATAAGAAAATTAGAGCAATGACAATACTATCTCACATCTGAATAAGAGGCATTCCAAAATATTAAGAAAAGAAGGAAACTGAAAAAATGACCAATGTAATATTTTGAGAAAATTTCCCAGCTCTGAAGGATGTAAGTTTCTGAATTATAAATGCAACAGATTGTCTAGAACAGCTGGTAAAAGTAGGTTAAATATCAGAAAGACAGTGGCAAAAAGAACATTCTAAAACCACTGAAGGAGGAAAGTGTAGGTCATATGCAAAGATCGGAAATCAGAAGGGCTTTAGATTTCATGCTTGAAGACAATGCATTTAGACCTTCAAAATGCTGAAGGGCGGTGAAATCCCGTCTCTACTAAAAATACAAAAAATTAGCCGGGCGTGGTGGCGGGCGCCTGTAGTCCCAGCTACTCGGGAGGCTGAGGCAGGAGAATGGCGTGAACCCGGGAGGCGGAGCTTGCAGTGAGCCGAGATCGTGCCACTGCATTCCAGCCTGGGCGACAGAGTGAGACTCCATCTTAAAAAAAAAAAAAAAAAAAAAAAAAAAAAGAAAATGCTGAAGGGAAATAATTTCCAACTTAAAATTATATACTTAGCTAAATTATATGTCAAGGGAGAGGGTAGAATAAAGCCATTGCAAGACATAAAATATTTAATGGTCAGGAGCAGTGGCTCACGATTGTAATCCTAGCACTTTGGGAGGCCCAGGCAGGTGGATCCTTTGAGGCCAGGAGCTCGAGATCACCCTGGCCAATATGGCAAAACCCCATCTCTACTTTAAAAAATACAAAAATTAGCTTGGTGTGGTGGCACACATCTGTAATCCCAGCTACTTGGGAGGATGAGGCACGAGAATCGTTTGAACCTGGGAGGTGGAGGTTGCAGTGAGCTGAGATCACGCCATTGCACTTCAGTCTGGGCAACAGAGTGAAACTCTGTCTCAGAAAAAAAAAAAAACGATTAAAAATACCTCCCACACTTAGCTACTGGTGAACATGCTCCACCAAAATAAATAGTAATGAATATATGGCATACAGGATATCTGACCAAGAGAGAGTAGAGCACATTTCCCATGTGGGAGAAGGAATAGGAAGATCTTTCCATTACAGCTTTTTGCTATCCCTCCTTCCCACCTGCCATCCTCCTATAGTCTTAACTCCAGTCATATTCTAGTTGCCAGCTTACCCCTTCATGCTTTACTTGTGGATGTTTATCTAACTGGCTTGCAATCATCCTATCATTCTTTAGTATGAAGGAATTCCTCCCTTCCATTTACCGCATTAAAAAACCTTCACTGAGGCCCTAGTCGGAATAAGCTGTCTTTGCTCTGAGCTGTCCAAGCTTCCAGGGAAACACTAAATAGTTTGGATTTGAATTGTTTCCTTAAAAGTCTGACTTTTTCTTACTGAACTACATATCCCTTGACGGCAGGAGCCATGTTTCATTACCTTTGTATCTCTAATATCCAGTCTTATAATCATTATTGAACAACAACATGAAAGAACAAATTTGATTCATTATTTAGAGATATGCATATGATTAAGGAGCTCATTAAGTTCCTAAGTGATAACAGGACTAAAAATAATGAGATAGCATATACCTATATAGCTACTACTTATTAAATGCTTATTTTATATACTAAATAGCTGATTCACAATCTCAGACCTATTAAAATCATAGAGTAGGGATCTGAACTAACATCTGGTATCCAAACTTTGAATTACTATGCAGTTCTCCTTCCTGGGGAGAAAAGAGAGGTTCTAATGCACAAATATATGAAGGCTAATTAGGGCATCCTCTTTTACAAAACCCAAAGAAAGGTTTTGTAGCAAAAATGAGTCTATGAACTCCAGTTGTGTGAGAACAGGCAAGCCAGTATGGTCTTTTTAAATTGTTGGAAAAAACAACACCTTCCTCCCCTAGATGAGAGTTTATCTGCCAAAACTAATCGTAGAGTGAGTTTTATGACTATGTTATAAACCTCTGTAAAGTAAAGAATGTAATAGAAGTGCTCACAGAGCCCTCCTTATGATGGGTTTAGAAGGTACAGCTATAAAACAGAAGTAATTTCTGGAATTTGGAAATTATGCATGACTGTAAAGACAAACATATTTGCCATAAATTGAAGCCCACACCTGCATGGGGATATATTGGCTCCCATTTAATTCAAGGTCAGCAATAACTTTAAAACAAATTCTATTAAACTCTCATCAAGCTGTTCAAGTTAAAATTAAAGGGAGAAAAAAATACAACAAAACTCTCTGCAGAACACTAAATCATGAGAATTTCAAATAAGCTTAAATTCAGTTAAATGAAACTAGGAACAAATCTTCCTTTAAAATGCTTCTCCTAAAACAGCAAAGGAATAGAATATTTTGGAGAGAAAAAAATAACAGGAGCTTGTGAGTATTCTACAAAAACACTACAAATCTGATTACATAGAACATGATGATGAAACACAAGCAATTTATCAATTGCTCACTCACTTGTCTACTAACTTCTCTTGGATGGAACTTTTAAAAAGCTTCTCTTCCATTGATAAGGACGAGGGCCAGACTAGGAAATACTTCAAACGACATTATATTGTCTATTGCTACTTTTTTGTGGTTTTGCCTTGCTTGGGCATAAATAATTGGACATTTTCTACATAAAGTTTTTCTATATAGGTGTTTTCCTTGTCTCCTTCTTCTGAAGCCGTGCTCCACAATGTTCACCTTTATGATTCGTTTGTCCCTATCTAATCTCACCCATTCGGTCTCCTGTTTCTGCTGCATTTATAAAACATATTTGAAAAACTTTGGTCTGTGTAATTAAGAGAACTGTATTCAAATCTTGTTTTTGTACATAATTGATTAGGTTATACTGGAAAAATTTTAGCTTATCTTTAATGCTTACCTTATCTGTAAAATGGGATCAATAAAACATACCTATATTAATAGAAATGCCAGAAAAATCCCATTATGTGGGTTAGCATCCCTCTTGTTTTCGGCACATGATAAGAACAGTGTGTATCCACTTTGATCACCAAACCAAAATGTTTTGGTGAAGCCCAGGTCTTAAATTAAAAGCAGACTAATACCCTTAGATGATAATGCAGCATGATAAATTTAGATCAAATAAATACCAGGTTTGACATCTAAAAGTTCCTTTAAATTTTGCAATTTTTTTAGAAGATTGATTTTTCTCACATATGGGAACACCAAATACCCAAAACCTGAACATACTTCATAAGAGCTAGGATGAAAATCGGACAACTAAGATCCGTATTATTTCTTGAATGCACTTGAGATAATAGTACACACCCGACACAAACTTTGGTTATAAGCTATGATACCTATGAAGTTGGTGTTGTTCTTTGTTTTTATCCTGTGGTTTAGCACAATGTCTGACACCTAGCAGGTATAAATATGTATTTGTTGAATAAATGAGGAAATAAATGTAGCAAAGACAGATCAAGTCAATAGGTTTTTTGCTAGTGAGGAAAGTGATTCGAAAGATATGAACATAGCTGCAATGGAAATGGGGAGCTTTAAAATGTTTTTCCTCTGTTAAACTCTCTTTTTAAATGGTGAAACTAGAGCATGTTTGAATGCTGATGGGACTAATGTAATGGAGAGAAATAGATTGATAATAGAGATGAAGGAGAGGGAATAAAAATAAATATAACTGGCAGATTGCAGTCTTTGAGAAATGGAAAGAAAACAGGCCCCAGAGAAGTGGCCAAATTGGCCTTTGTTTCCAGGGGATCCATTTGGTCAGAGGAGGAAAACTGGAGATGGCTCAATAAGTAGAGAGGAGCTTTTATTAATGGGAAGTTGAATTTATAATGTAAGTTCCAGCTGCCTGGGTCTGAAGCTTGGCAAACTTTTATTTTATTTCATTTTATTTTTGAGACGGAGTCTCGCTCTGTTGCCCAGGCTGGCATGCAGTGGCACAGTCTCTGCTCACTGCAACCTCTGCCTCCAGGGTTCAAGCAATTCTCATGCCTCAGCCTCCCAAGTAGCTGGGATTACAGGCACCACAACCACGCCCGGCGAATTTTTGCATTTTTAGTAGAGACGGGGTTTCACTATGTTGGCCAGGCTGGTCTCAAACTCCTGACCTCAAGTCAAGTGATCCACCCACCTCGGCCTCCCAAAGTGCTGGGATTACAGGTGTGAGCCATTGCGCCCGGCAGAAGCTTAGCAAACTTTTTAGGGTCATTCTTGAGATAAACAGTTCAAAGTTACAAATGTGATTTAAGCATAAGTTCTTGGAAGGAGCTGGTAGAAGTAATTGTTCCTGAATTTTAAATTTTGTTTCATGGGAAATCTCTTTCTCTGCCTAAAATTAAATCCTAGCTCCATACTTTATTAACTATGTGAATTTGTCTAACTTATCAATCTCTTTGGGACTAGGTTTCTCCATCTAGAAAATGAGGACGGGCATGATATCCATCTCAAGGCATTTTAGAGATGATTAGATAAAACAACCTTTATAAACAGAATTGGGAAAAAAAATCATGTTAACGGATTAAGCAATCTATGTAAAGATAATCTGAGTCACTTACGTACTTCTCAATAAATATTGGCTATTATTATATAAAGTCCCTGATACATACAAGAACACAATAAACGTTAGTTTCTACCCTAGCTAGATGAGAAGTAATTTTTAAGAAATCACATTATACTTCATTTGAAATTCAAAGAATTCCTAGCACAAATTAGACTTAAAAATTATTTTTAAAATATGATTCCTCCTTCCGCTCCTCTTCCTGCTCATGCTTCTCCTCCTACTTATGGGGGAACAGAAAATCCATATGTAAACTCACTAGAATACCCTCTCTGAAGGTAGAAATAGTACCTCTTATATTTGAAACACAGATCATTAAGGGCATGGTAGACATTCAGCAAGCTTTTGCCGTAATGAAAATAATTGATATTATTTTGTCATTCATTGTTCAAGAATCCAGTGAAACTTGAACGCTAAATATTGTCTCAAAACCAATGTGGACTTTGTGACTTTCTAGAGTACATGACATAATTCTTTTTCGTTGTTCTAACTCCAAGTCTGAGCATAGCGTATCCCTAACTCTGGCACAGAGTTGGCATTCAGTAAACACTTAACAGTTGAATGGTTTTTGGGAGAGAAAGAAGGTAGATGTGAAGGGTGACTACAGTTTTTACACACATTGCTAAGCTCTAAGAGAAAGAATGCCTAGAAGGCATTCTGTATCAGAAAATGTTCAGTTTGATAAGTCTGTCACCAAAAGAAAAGCAAAACAATGCTTAAAAATTTTACTTCTAACATTCATAGCCAAAAAGCTGTTCATTCAATTTTCTGCAGTGGTACGTACTCAAAAAAGGCATAAAACATTTAACAGTGTTGTTCTCCAGGTTTATTAATGCTTGCTAACTCACTTATTCTTATGCTGATAGTCTTGCCTGAAGCATCTTACTTTTCCTAAGGTACTAAAGTTACTTGAATTGCAACCAAATCTGTAGTAATTAGCTGAATCCATAAAAAAATTGTTGGGATACTTTGTTATTACAAATACCATTCAGAATTCTAAGAATTTACCTCTGAACATTTTGACCATATGTCCAGACCTTCATGACTTGAAGGAATAAAAGAGAATCCATGCAAATTTTAAAAAGAGGTTCTTTCCCTCTTTTTTGGTTTTGTTAAGTAGAAAGATTCCCAATATATGTATTGGTAATAAGTTAAGCAAAAATAAAAAATAGGAAAGTGACTGATGCAGATTGTCATAAAAACATGGCTTTTTTCTTTATAAGACATTTTGAAAGCCCTTCTTGAGTAACACAGATGATATAGAAATCATATTTCTCATACAGTTTGGATAGAAATTTGAAAATATTCATGATACAAACTTAAAATAAAGCCATTCAATATAAGAGGCAGGACAGCAATGTATGCAAAGTACCAAATCACAATGAAACAGATTCAAGCCTGAGGTAGTCCCCAGTAGAGATAGTCACCTGGGCAGAGGCAATTCCCCCATCTTTTAGAAGCTGCTTTAAGGGTGCTGCTCATGAGAATTATAATTTGACACTTAATATGACATCTTAGATCAGAGACTGAAAGGAGACAGCATCTTGTCCACCTTCCTGATAGAACAAAAACTATCAAGCTCAGAAAGGTGAGGGACTGATCCACATCAGCACAGCTAATTTTAGCAGAATTACTGAAAGCGAGGCAGTGAGAGAAGGTATTAATACAAAAGGCAGGACCTTATAATCATGCACCTCACAGTTGAAATTCCAGCTCTGTCACTTACACACTTCTACAAAAGTTCATTGCTGGGTGTGTCACAATAGTGGTGCACACCGGGAGCATCTTACCAAGTTAGCTTCCAGCTTTCCTATCAGTAAAAACCTAGTGATGGTATTGGCCTTTTCCAGATTGTTTCAGCCTTTACATTTCAAAAACAAAAGTGGAAGTGGTATTCAATACCCAGGATGCATTTATGAGTACAATCGACCCTTGAACAACCATGGGGGTTAGAGACACTGACCCTTCGCATAGTCATAAATCCACGTACAAATTCAACTCCCTCAAAATTTCTGGCCTACTAGACCAGAAGCCTTATTGATACTATAGGCCAGGGATCCCCAACCTTCGGGCCACAGACTGGTACCATTCCTTGGCCTGTTAGGAACCAGGCTACACAGGAGGAGGTAAGCAGCATTTGAGCAAGTGAAGCTTCATCTCTATTTACAGCCATTCTCCATTGCTCACTGCTGCCTGAGCTCAGCCTCCTATCAGCAGTGGCATTAGATTCTCAGGGATCCGAATTCTGTTGTGAATTGCACATGTGAGGGATCTAGGGTGCATGCTCCTTATAAGAATCTAATGCCTGATGGTCTGTCATTGTCTATCACTCCCAGATGGGACCATCTAGTTGTAGGATAACAAGCTCGGGGCTCCTACTCATTTGACATTATGGTGAGTTGTATTATTATTTCATTTTATATTCCAATGTAATAATAGAAATAAAATGCACAATAAATGTAATGCACTTGAATTACCCTGAAACCATCCCCTACTGGTTGTCCATGGAAAAATTTTCTTCCACAAAATCAGTCCTTGGTGCCAAAAAGGTTGGAGACTGCTGCCATAGTCAATTAATGCATACTTGGCATATATATTATGTACTGTTATATATACATATATATATATATATAAATAATGTACTTGTTATATATATTATGTACTATATTTTTAAAATAAAATAAGCTAGATAGATCATAAGAAAGAGAAAATATATTTACTACTCATTAAATGGATCATCATAAAGGTCTTCATCCTTGTTATCTTCCTGTTGAGTAGGCTGAGAAGGAGGAAAAAGAGGAGGGTTGGTCTTGCTGTCTCGGGGTTGGCAGAGGCAGAAGAAAATCCAAATATAAGTGGACCTGCACAGCTCAAACCTGTGTTATTCAAGGGTCAGCTATATTTTGTTTGAGATACAGCCAGTAGTGCTTGAGAATAAATGCCATATATTTACTGTTGCTCCTCAGATGGGCTCAGTTCACAGACATGCTGGGACCTTGTAGCCTAAAAAGCTAGTGGGGAAGGTGAGGGCGCCATGAACTAGGACAAAACATCCCCATGGCTGAGCTCCCCAGGTCACAGTTTAACTCATAATATTCAGTACACTCAGGTTTGAACCAGGCCAGGACAAGTGTCCAAGAGGGGCTCTCTGGTATGGGGGACAGCAAGCGTTTTCTAAAATTGATAATTCTCAAAGTCAAAGGAGTCTAATGCTTGGCCCCAGATGACCAGTTACTGGGAACAGGAAGGGCCACTGAGAGGAATGGGAGAATAGGGAGAAGCATCCAAAGAGGTCATTGACAGAATACAGTAAAGAGTTAGTATCCCTGCTGAGGAAGTTACAACTTTGAGAGTGACTTTAAGCCCCCATCAAAGACTGTGTTCAAAGAAAAGCCCCCACCGAATTAAATTTAACAATATTTAATTGAGCAAACAATGATTCATGAATTGGGCAGCCTCTTCAGCCAGAGTCGGCTCAGATAGACTCCAGCACAGTCATGTGGTAGAAGATTTATGGACAGAAAAAGGAAAGTGACCTACAGAAAAAGGGAAGTGAGGTTCAGAAACAGCCGGATTGGTTACAGCTCAGCATCTGCCTTATTTGAACATGGTTTGAACAGTTGGTCACCTTTGATTGGCCCAAACTTGGTGATCAGCACACGAACAGGCTGCAGTATCTTTAGGTTATAACTATAATCTAACTTCATTTAGGTTATAGTTCACTATGTACAGAGAACCCTTTGGGCCTAACTTAAAATATGTAAGGAAACGACTCTAGGCCAACTTGATTTAACAAGTATCATACTAAAATGGAAGTCAAAGTAGAAGAGCGGTCTTACAAACTGAAATACAAGTATCACATTTGAGGAAATTAAAGGGCTAGGTCTACGAAACCCTAACGGATTTCCACTCTGACCCATTTTTCTGGAGTGTGGAAGATGAAAAAGCTCTCCCTGAGTTGGTTCAGTGAGACACAGAAGCTAGATGTGGCTGAGCCTTTAGAAGCAGAGCATCATGGGCCAGGTGCAACGGCTCACACCTATAATCGCGGCACTTTGGGAGGCTGAGGAGGGCAGATCACCTGAGGTCAGGAGTTCGAGACCAGCCTGGCCAACATGGTGAAACCCCATCTTTACCCAAAATACAATAATTAGCCAGGCATGGTGGCAGGCACCTGTAATCCTAACTACTTGGAAGGCTGAGGTAGGGGAGTCATTTGAACCTAAGAGGCGGAGGTTGCAGTGAGCCGATATTGCACCAATGCACTCCAGCCTGGGCAACAGAGTGAGACTCCATGTCAAAAAAAAAAAAAAGAAAGAAAAGAAAAGAAACAGGGCATCATGAAGTCCAACTGGTCAGGATTGGACAGGGTTATTAACATCCTACAAATCTGGGTCAAGAAATGGCAGTGAATGGGCTATGGCCCAATGAGCAAGAATCATTCAACAGGTGAGAAAGACACAATTCAGTTTTCTTTAGAAATGCATCCAATTTTGTCTTATAGTGCCCTTAAAACAAATATATCTTTTTTCTTGAAATCTCCTTTTTCTTGAAAGCTCTTTATTCCCCCCAAAATAATAAATATCTACCGAGGGATTATCATACTTTTCTATTATTTCACATAGCTTTCATAAAATGAAAGCTAAAAACCCAATTTCTGTTTATGTGTGTGTTTGGGTGTGTGTGAGTGTTAATGAAAGTTCCAGCAGCTAAATATTAAAATACAAAAACTATACCACAGGGGTAAGAAACTTAGCATGTTAGGTACCTTCTGCACAAGAAACCAGTCAGGGAATAAGCCACTGAAAACAAAGGAAACCATAAGGAGGAAGTAGATTCCACTTTTTATCTTCAAAGTTGAAATTATTTGAATAATGACATTGGAGGAAAAAAATACCTTTTCCATATAAAAGCAAGATAAGTCTTGATAATATTCTCCTACATTTTAAAGTACAGTATTACTCAGTATCCCCAGCTGAGGACATGATGAGCAAGTTTGCCTTGTTATAGGACAGAAACAGAAGCTGCATGTTTCTTCAATGAGCAAACAACAATATAACATCAAAATCCAGATGACAAACTTACCATTTGTTTTATACCAACTTATATCTTTTTTCTTTTACTTTTTTTTTCATTTTGTTTTGTTTTGTTTTGTTTTTTTGAGATGGAGTCTTGCTATGTCACCAGGCTGGACTGCAGTGGTGCGATCTCAGCTCACTGCAACCTCCGCCTCCCGGGTTGAAGCGTTTCTCCTGCTTCAGCCTCCCGAGTAGCTGGGATTATAGGCACATGCCACCATGCCAGCTAATTTTTTTATTTTTAGTACAGATGGGGTTTCACCATGTTGGCCAAAATGGTCTCAATCTCCTGACCTGTGATTCGCCCACCTCGGCCTCCCAAAGCGCTGGGATTACAGGTGTGAGCCACTGTGCCCGGCCTATACCAACTTATATCTTATATAAATATTCCTATCTCTATCACAAGGTAAGCCTGAGAATAATGGCAGGTGAACATTATCTAAGACAGGAGTATGAGAAAAGTATCTCTAAGGAAGAATTACCAGCACTTATTTCAAGTCTAGCTTTATTAGCTGTGAAATCTTATGTGACTATAACATTTCTCCGCCTTGCTTTCCTCATCTTTAAAATGGAGATTGTAATAACAGGTCATCGATCATAGGGTTGGTATAAGAAATAAATGAAATAATTCAAGTTAATATAGCATATATAGTTAATCATGCTAGTCATTCAGTAATGTTTAGCTATTATTAGTAAAGCAGGTTTTAGGGAGATATTCAGATTTACCAAGAAGAATGAAGCTAGTGTTAACACAGCAGTAAATTGAGAAGACGGCATTAATATGCCCATCTGTATTCTCCTGCCTGTCAAGGACTTGCTTACTAAATAAGATAATCCATTTATCGGACCTCTCTAATTAATAAGAACACAGCTTCTCTCCCTGTGCTCTTTTATCAGATATATGACATTAGTGGCAAAATGACATGACAGTGATATAAAAATTACAACATTAACAGGCTCTGAATAAATAAAACCTGAAGCAAAATCTTTCCTGGTGCCAAGAATAGAATAGCTGAGATGGGGACGGATATTTCAAAATTGAGTGTAGAACAGTAAATCATACAATACTGGCAGAACACTGGATATGATATTTTTTCAAAATAAAACTATGAAATATTGGTGGGGACATCCAGCTCTGCTATTTTATTGTCAATGACACAGTGAGTCTAATAAAGGCACTGATTTATGGAAAACCTTATCACATTTTAAAGTGGGGTGTTTTCACTGATTCTCTCCACCCACTACAGAACTCATGTTGTTATGCCAAAAGAGGGCTGGATCTTTATTCAAGCTAAAACCAATTTTTTTTTTTTTTTTTTTTTTTTTTTTACATAAGGACAGTAGGAAGTTCAGCCTTCACTCCTTTGAAAAGGTTCCAGCACATGGACCACCAGCATCCCATGTTCTTGCTGAAAAAGTGAATCAATTTTTATGATCAATGACTATAGATGCTTGTGTTATTTAGGAATATGATCTTGTTCTGCTGAATGTCATTCTTTCCACTGCATGTATGTGCTTTCTGCGAACTGACAAAGGACACTTGTTTCTTCTTCATTCTCACAGAGACAGGTCCATGGCATATCCCATGAGAAATGGGACAGGGCAGAGAGGTGGTGGGAAGTTGGCCTTTTTTATTTTATGTTTTTGTGAGATGGAGTTCGCTCTTTTTGCCCAGGCTGGAGGGCAATGGTGCAATCTCGGCTCACTGCAACCTCCACCTCTCGGATTCAAGCTATTCTCCTGCCTCAGCCTCCCTAGTAGCTGGGACTACAGGCGTCTGCCACCACGCCCAGCTAATTTTTATAGTTTTAGTAGATACGGGGTTGCACCATGTTGGTCAGGCTGGTCTCAAACTCCTCACCTCAGGTTATCTACCCACCTTGGCCTCCCAAATGCTGGGATTACAGGCATGAGCCACTGCGCCTGGCCGCTTCATCTCTTTAACTTTGAGTCTCTTTGACTCTGGGACTTCCAAATATCTCAGCTTGGGCATCTGCTTTTACAGAATCCTTAAGAGAACTATCCACCACAGCTTTTATGTACAGTTCTCTTTCTGACAGATGGAATAATGCTGGGTAAACAAAAGAAGCCTATTAATAAATATACCCCTTGTTTCTTCCTAGGAACCTACACTCATATTTTTCTCATTAAACTCATTTTTCCATTCCCTTCACCCCATTCATATGAACTCACAAAAATACATGCCTTATGGTTCCATAGCAAGCCCTTAAATCCCTTTCTTGGCTACCCATTAAACAAATAAAGGTCCTTCAAAAACAAATTAAGATATATTTGTTTCCATTTTGGTGGCAATATGCTTCTTTGAAAAATTGATAGAAGGTGACTAAACATATTTATAGACTTTGCTTTAAGGAATCACTTACTTATCAGATGTGCCTCATAATGTTCTTCTTTAATTTCCATGAAAGAATGGTGTATGGGCAACAATTAAGTAAATTCTAATTGCTTTTGTGGCATTTGCCAAACATTATGATATAATAAATTCACATTAAACTATCAAATAATGCAGTGTTACACTTTCAAAAATCATCTATCATTGCAAGTATGAAACTAATTTCAAGTATTTTTTTAAATGGTAATTTTTAACCAGTCAATATACACTTAAAGAGAGATGTGGGGTTTTTTTTGGAAAAATGATATCTCAACAACCCAGCTTGGGAAAAAGTAATTTATATAGGGTCATTGACCTGATAGATATTCAGGAGTTTTGTTTTTCATATTTTGAAATTCAATTTTGTCACACAGCTATTACCCATGTCACTGATTTTCAGTCTTTCAGCAACAAGACCTCTTAGAAAAAATGTCATAGTAACATCAAAAATAAAGATCTATTTTAAAGCTGAAGTCTGTTATATAACTGTCACTACTGGTCATAACATTGACTAACTCATTCCTAAAATATTTGAAAGTATTCAGCACATCTCTTGCTGAAAATTATTTGTCTCCTATGCCCTTATTTTGTCCAGAGCTTTCTGGAATTCAAAGGTATTTTGCAAATCATATCAGTATGCTACTCTTGTTTGCTGTTCTACTGTTCCTTCTCCCCCTTACAAGTTTTCCCTACTTTAATTAAATGTGGATATTTAATAATCTACTTGCAAGGGAAAATAGAATCGACTAATTTATTAGGAAACAACTTTTTTTTTCATTAATATAATTCCTCATCTGATGATTTTGCCCACCCTTTATGAATTGCTGTAAAGGCCTTTTTGTATTTCAATTTTTTTACATTACAGAGAGCGAGTGAGAGAGAGAGAGACAGAGAGAGAGATAGGGAGAGGAGAGAGAGAAGAAATACGAATAATAAGATTCAACTAAAAATTAAGAGTTTAGAAAGTCAACTAAGATAATTCCAAAACAGCATGATCTGTTACTGTTGGAAAATTAACCTTCAGAAGTACAATATTTAATCAGAATTTCAGAAAGTCCTGTGAGTTATTATAAAAACTGCAAAGCACTTCCAAGGAAACCTTAACCTGGCAGGCTTTTATTCAAGTTCCTCTTTAGGACAATAGTTCTTTCATAAGTGTGGCAATTTCAAATAACTCAGGTACTATGTTCACATGCTCTTGGCAGACAAATGAGCTTTTAACATGTCTGGTAATATGAATATATAAGAGCCTTAAGTACCCCTTGTAATGAAAACATCCTCTTTTCCTCACCCTTTTGAACCTTTTATCCTCTTGACATCTACAGAAACCGGGAGGACGAGATCATCCGACTTTAATATAAACGGTGAATTTATACAACATCACCTAACTGCTGCATCCACTTGTCCAAACGGTTTTGCATATGAATTTTATAAAGCATTTATGCAGCTTTGAGTAAATTCTAGACTAGCCAAGTTTTAGTTGATTTACCTTCATGAATGACTGACATCAAAATAGTCCTCTATTTCCAAATACATAGTAAAGACCAAAAATATAAAATAATTGGGTATTTTAAAAACAGCTGTACAATGAACTGGTATGTCTACGCTTACTGCTAATAAAGCGTAGATGCAAAACTGTTCATATATTACATGTTAATAAGAAATACTTCATACAGAAAAGCCAAACTTTTCAGTTGTAGATTTCTTTATAATAACGTATAAAATAGTTCATAGGATCTTCTTAAAGCATTATCTGAAATAAACTCATTTTTGAACAAAAAATGCAAAATTTATTCTATTTATTATCTTTTGTGTGTGCTCCATTTCAAGATTATTTTATACCGGACAACTTCCTGGTCCATTATGTCTATACGTTGAATAAAATGAAAGAAAAAAAGTGTTCATTTATATCATTTCTTTGGAATTTCCTCACAAAATGCAATCCTTTTAGTTCTTTAGGACCAAATAAGCAAACTAACACCCACACCAGCAAAATCCAAACAGAAAAATGAAAGTATGGGTTTTATGCTCAGTAGAAGCCCATAGTCAGAACTGTAGTAAGCTAGACAAAATATAGGATGCAGAAGAATATGACTGGTGTAGTGTGACTTCTTTTAAACATGAGTTTGTTCTATTTTGCTCCAAGTTTATATGATGTCTTCGCTAAAATACTAATTTTTTTTAAAAGTCATCCACCTAATTCAGCCTATACCTTCAATAGCCAAACATTGAAATATTTGCTATTCCATATTTTTAAGAGGAAATATCTCTTGAAAACTATGAACTTTCTTCTTACAAACCAGCACGCACCACACACCCGTGCATACACACGTGCACTCACATGCATGCCCACACAAATACACACACATGCACACCATACTCTTTTCGAAACATAAAGAGATAATAGGTTAAGTTCCTCTGACCAAGAAAATTAATGTAACAATATTCTATTTTTCCACTATTAAGAAACTTATCTCCATTTTTTTCTTCTTCACTTTGGTACCCACATCTGACCATACTTTATGTCACTAGAAATGCAAATGCTTAAGGGAAGAATCAGAAAATCAGAAGTGTAACTGTGAATGTGCCACTAATATCACATCTTTGATTGCATTGACTGTCAAGTCAGATGTCCTGAGCTGGCTATTTTCATCACTTATTTTTTCCCTAACATCCCTAATAACTAAGAATATATCATGA
Source organism: Homo sapiens (assembly GCF_000001405.40). NCBI lineage: Eukaryota > Metazoa > Chordata > Mammalia > Primates > Hominidae > Homo > Homo sapiens. The sequence goes on along the minus strand of NC_000005.10, from coordinate 165,419,170 downwards.
TTTTGTATATAGCTCCAATAATCTGCTTAATTCATATCCATATTTTTTCCACAGGCACGTGCAGAAGAGTATCTATAACCAGAAATAGATGGCTTCTTGTTAATATATGTCCTCAGGTTAAGGATAATTGTGCTTGTTGACTGAGCCATGACATGTCAGCCTAAGGAGATTAAAAAAGCAAAAAATCCTATGACTGGTTTAATGACATGTTCTGTCTCTTTCTTGATTAAATAGCTAGTTTAGATATTTTAGTCAGTTCACTCGAGAAGATTGATTATTTTTGGACAGGATCAAGTACTTTTAAGTTGTATTGCATTACAACTTTTTTCAAAAAATAGACAAATATCCTAAATCAGAATTTACAAACAGTATTTGAGAATGTGGCATTTCTTAAGCTATTAGATCTCGGTTCCCCTCATTAGAAGAGAATCTAATATCATCTGTATTTAGTATCTACAGTTTCATGTGGATCAAAGTGGCAACTTGTTGAAAGAAGTTATACTTTAAGTTTTAGGGTACAGGTGCACAATGTGCAGGTTTGATACATATGTATACATGTGCCATGTTGGTGTGCTGCACCCATTAACTCGCCATTTAACATTAGGTATATCTCCTAATGCTATCCCTCCCCCCTCCCCCCACCCCACAACAGGCCCCAGTGTGTGATGTTCCCCTTCCTGTGTCCATGTGTTCTCATTGTTCAATTCCCACCTATGAGTGAGAACATGCGGTATTTGGTTTTTTGTCCTTGCGATAGTTTGCTGAGAATGATGGTTTCCAGCTTCATCCATGTCCCTGCAAAGGACATGAACTCATCCTTTTTTATGGCTGCATAGTATTCCGTGTCACATTTCCTTAATCCAGTCTATCATTGTTGGACATTTGGGTTGGTTCCAAGTCTCTGCTATTGTGAATAGTGCCACAATAAACATATGTGTGCAAGTGTCTTTATAGCAGCATGATTTATAATCCTTTGAGTATATACCCAGTAATGGGATGGCTGGGTCAAATGGTATTTCCAGTTCTAGATCCCTGAGGAATTGCCACACTGACTTCCAAAATGGTTGAACTACTTCACAGTCCCACCAACAGTGTAAAAGTGTTCCTGTTTCTCCACATCCTCTCCAGCACCTGTTGTTTCCCGACTTTTTAATGATCGCCATTCTAACTGGTGTGAGGTGATATCTCATTGTGGTTTTGATTTGCATTTCTCTGATGGCCAGTGATGATAAGCATTTTTTCATGTGTGTTTTGGCTGCATATAAATATCTTCTTTGGAGAAGTGTCTGTTCATATCCTTCGCCCACTTGTTGTTGGGGTTGTTTTTTTCTTGTAAATTTGTTTGAGTTCATTGTAGATTCTGGATATTAGCTCTTTGTCAGATGAGTAGATTGCAAAAATTTTCTCCCATTCTGTAGGCTGCCTGTTCACTCTGATGGTAGTTTCTTTTGCTGTGCAGAAGCTCTTTAGTTTAATCAGATCCCATTTCTCAATTTTGGCTTTTGTTGCCATTGCTTCTGGTGTTTTAGACATGAAGTCCTTGCTCATGCCTATGTCCTGAATGGTATTGCCTAGGTTTTCTTCTAGGGTTTTCATGGTTTTAGGTCTAACATTTAAGTCTTTAATCCATCTTGAATTAATTTTTGTATAAGGTGTAAGGAAGGGATCCAGTTTCAGCTTTCTACATATGGTGAGCCAGTTTTCTCAGCACCGTTTATTAAATAGGGAATCCTTTCCCCATTTCTTGTTTTTGTCAGGTTTGTCAAAGATCAGATAGTTGTAGATATGCAGCATTATTTCTGAGGGCTCTGTTCTGTTCCACTGATCTATATCTCTGTTTTGGTACCAGTACCATGCTGTTTTGGTGACTGTAGCCTTGTAGTATAGTTTGAAGTCAGGTAGTGTGATGCCTCCAGCTTTGTTCTTTTGGCTTAGGATTGACTTGGTGATGTGGGCTCTTTTTTGGTTCCATATGAACTTTAAGGTAGTTTTTTCCAATTCTGTGAAGAACGTCATTGGTAGCTTGATGGGGATGGCATTGAATCTATAAATTACCTTGGGCAGTATGGCCATTTTCATGATATTGATTCTTCCTACCCATGAGCATGGAATGTTCTTCCATTTGTTTGTATCCTCTTTTATTTCCTTGAGCAGTGGTTTGCAGTTCTCCTTGAAGAGGTCCTTCACATCCCTTGTAAGTTGGATTCCTAGGTATTTTATTCTCTTTGAAGCAATTGTGAATGGGAGTTCACTCATGATTTGGCTCTCTGTTATTGGCCTATAAGAATGCTTGTGATTGCTGCACGTTGATTTTCTATCCTGAGACTTTGCTGAAGTTGCCTATCAGCTTAAGGAGATTTTGGGCTGAGATGATGGGTTTTTCTAGATACATAATCATGTCATCTGCAAAAAGGGACAATTTGACTTCCTCTTTTCCTAATTGAATACCCTTTATTTCCTTCTCCTGCCTGATTGCCCTGGCCAGAACTTCCAACACTATGTTGAATAGGAGTGGTGAGAGAGGGCATCCCTGTCTTGTGCCAGTTTTCAAAAGGAATGCTTCCAGTTTTTACCCATTCAGTATGATATTGGCTGTGGGTTTGTCATAGATAGCTCTTATTATTTTGAGATACTTCCCATCAATACCTAATTTATAGAGAGTTTTTAGCATGAAGTGTTGTTGAATTTTGTCAAAGGCCTTTTCTGCATCTATTGAGATAATCATGTGGTTTTTGTCATTGGTTCTGTTTATATGATGGATTACGTTTATTGATTTGCGTATGTTGAACCAGCCTTGCATCCCAGGGATGAAGCCCACTTGATCATGGTGGATAAGCTTTTTGATGTGCTGCTGGATTCGGTTTGCCAGTATTTTATTGAGGATTTTTGCATTGATGTTCGTCAGGGATATTGGTCTAAAATTCTCTTTTTTGGTTGTGTCTCTGCCCGGCTTTGGTATCAGGATGATGCTGACCTCATAAAATGAGTTAGGGAGGATTCCCTCTTTTTCTATTGATTGGAATAATTTCAGAAGGAACGGTACCATCTCCTGCTTGTATGTCTGGTAGACATGGATTCGGCTGTGAATCCATCTGGTCCTGGACGTTTTTTGGTTGGTAAGCTATTAATTATTGCCTCAATTTCAGAGCTTGTTATTGGTCTATTCAGAGATTCAACTTCTTTGTGGTTTAGTCTTGGGAGGGTGTATGTGTCCAGGAATTTACCCATTTCTTCTAGATTTTCTAGTTTATTTGCATACAAGTGTTTATAGTATTCTCTGATGGTAGTTTGTATTTCTGTGGGATTGGTGGTGATATCCCCTTTATCATTTTTTATTGCATCTATTTGATTCTTCTCTCTTTTCTTCTTTATTAGTCTTGCTTGCGGTGTTTCAATTTTGTTGATCTTTTCAAAAAACCAGCTCCCGGATTCATTGACTTTTTGAAGGGTTTTATGTGTGTCTCTATCTCCTCCAGTTCTGCTCTGATCTTAGTTATTTCTTGCCTTCTGCTAGCTTTTAAATGTGTTTGCTCTTGCTTCTCTAGTTCTTTTAATTGTGATATTAGGGTGTCAATTTTAGATCTTTCCTGCTTTCTCTTGTGGGCATTTAGTGCTATAAATTTCCTCTACACACTGCTTTGAATGTGTCCCAGAGATTCTGGTATGTTGTGTCTTTGTTCTCATTGGTTTCAAAGAACATCTTTATTTCTGCCTTCATTTCTTTATGTACCCAGTAGTCACTCAGGAGCAGGTTGTTCAGTTTCCAAGTAGTTGAGCGGTTTTGAGTGAGTTTCTTAATCCTGAATTCTAGTTTGATTGCACTGTCGTCTGAGAGACAGTTTGTTATAATTTCTGTTCTTTTACATTTGCTGATGAGTGCTTTACTTCCAACTATGTGGTCAATTTTGGAATAGGTGTGGTGTGGTGCTGAAAAGAATGTATATTCTGTTGATTTGGGGTGGAGAGTTCTGTATTTGTCTATTAGGTCTGCTTGGTGCAGAGCTGAGTTCAATTCCTGGATATCCTTGTTAACTTTCTGTCTCATTGATCTGTCTAATGTTGACAGTGGGGTGTTAAAGTCTCCCATTATTATTGTGTGGGAGTCTAAGTCTCTTTGTAGCTCTCTAAGGGCTTGCTTTATGAATCTGGGTGCTCCTGTATTGGGTGCATTTATATTTAGGAGAGTTAGCTCTTCTTGTTGAATTGTTCCCTTTACCATTATGTAATGGCCTTCTTTGTCTCTTTTGATTTTTGTTGGCTTAAAGTCTGTTTTATCAGAGACTAGGATTGCAACCCCTGCCTTTTTTTGTTTTCCATTTCTTGGGTAGATTTTCCTCCATCCCTTTATTTTGAGCCTATGTGTGTCTCTGCGTGTGAGACAGGTTTCCTGAACACAGCACACTGATGGGTCTTGACTCTTTATCCAATTTGCCAGTCTGTGTCTTTTAATTGGAGCATTTAGTCCATTTACATTTAAGGTTAAAATTATTATGTGTGAATTTGATTCTGTCATTATGATGTTAGCTGGTTATTCTGCTCGTTAGTTGAGGCAGTTTCTTCCTAGCCTTGATGGTCTTTACAATTTGGCAGGTTTTTGCAGCAGCTGGTACCGGTTGTTCCTTTCCATGTTTAGTGCTTCCTTCAGGAGCTCTTGTAGGGCAGGCCTGGTGGTGACAAAATCTCTCAGCATTTGCTTGTCTGTAAAGTATTTTATTTCTCCTTCACTTTTGAAGCTTAGTTTGGCTGGATATGAAATTCTGGGTTGAAAATTCTTTTCTTTAAGAATGTTGAATATTGGCCCCCACTCTCTTCTGGCTTGTAGAGTTTCTGCTGAGAGATCAGCTGTTAGTCTGATGGGCTTCCCTTTGTGGGTAACCCGACCTTTCTCTCTGGCTGCGCTTAACATTTTTTCCTTCATTTCAACTTTGGTAAATCTGACAATTATGTGTCTTGGAGTTGCTCTTCTCAAGGAGTATCTTTGTGGCATTCTCGGAATTTCCTGAATTTGAATGTTGGCCTGCCTTGCTAGATTGGGGAAGTTCTCCTGGATAATATCCTGCAGAGTGTTTTCCAACTTGCTTCCATTCTCCCCATCACTTTCAGGTATACCCATCAGATGTAGATTTGGTCTTTTCACATAGTCCCATATTTCTTGGAGGCTTTATTCATTTCTTTTTATTCTTTTTTCTCTAAACTTCTCTTCTTGCTTCATTTCATTCATTTGATCTTCCATCACTGATACCCTTTCTTCCACTTGATCGAGTCAGCTACTGAGGCTTGTGCATTTGTTACGTAGTTCTCGTGCCATGGTTTTCAGCTCCATCAGGTCCTTTAAGGACTTCTCTGCATTGGTTATTCTTGTTAGCCATTCATCTAATTTTTTTCAAGGTTTTTAACTTCTTTGCCGTGGTTTCGAACTTCCTCCTTTAGCTCCGAGTAGTTTGATCGTCTGAAGCCTTCTTCTCTCAACTCGTCAAAGTCATTCTCCGTCCAGCTTTGTTCCATTGCTGGTGAGGAGCTGTGTTCCTTTGGAGGAGGAGAGGCGCTCTGATTTTTCGAGTTTCCAGTTTTTGTGCTCTGTTTTTTCCCCACCTTTGTGGTTTTATCTACCTTTGGTCTTTGACGATGATGACATACAGATGGGGCTTTGGTGTGGATGTCCTTGCTGTTTGTTAGTTTTCCTTCTAACAGTCAGGACCCTCAGCTGCAGGTCTGTTGGAGTTTGCTGGAGGTCCACTCCAGACCCTGTTTGCCTGGGTATAAGCAGCAGAGGCTGCAGAACAGTGGATACTGGTGAACAGCAAATGTTGCTGCCTGATTGTTCGATATAGTTTTAAGAGTTACAATCGGGAACCATATGCTACCCAAGTTCAGATTCCAGCTTTTTCAGCTACTATTTGTAGTGAGATATTTTACCCTGGGCAAGATATTCTACCTTCTCCATTCATCAGTTTTCCTATCTTTTTTTTTTTTTTTTTTTTTTTTTGAGACGGAGTCTTGCTCTGTCGCCCAGGCTGGAGTGCAGTGGCGCGATCTCAGCTCACTGCAAGCTCTGCCTCCCGGGTTCACCATTCTCCCGCCTCAGCCTCCCAAGTAGCTGGGACTACAGGTGCCTGCCACCACGCCCAGCTAATTTTTTGTATTTTTAGTAGAGCTGGGGTTTCACCATGTTAGCCAAGATGGTCTCGATCTCCTGACCTCGTGATCCGCCCGCCTTGGCCTCCCAAAGTGCTGGGATTACAGGCGTGAGCCACTGCCCCCGTCCTTTCCTATTAAATAGAGGTAGCCTTTTGAAATCATTATATTACCCACCCCCTAGGGTTATTTTGTAGATTAAATGAGTGCATTTATTCAGTTAGTTACTGTGCTAAGAATTATACCTGGCACACTAGAAGTGCTATAAGTGTTAGCTAATATTATTGGGCATTACTTACTTTTAGCTTCTTTAACAACAATCCTTTCAGCTTACAGATAGTTTTCCTTTATAATTGCTGCTAAACATAGATATCAATGTTGACACAATTTTAAACATACAATTATTCTAATATTTATATCCAGAAATTTTACCCATAATTAACTATGGCTTCATAGCTATGGATCATTTATTTCATAATCCTATAAACATAAAATGCTAGAAAACACATTTCTTTTGTTTCTCTCCAAGCTATTTCTCTGTCATCATTGTCAACAATAAATGACCATAAATTTGCATTTGCAATAAGTTGATATAACATATGTGTGTATTTAAAAAGCTTCCTTAGATTATACAATTAATCACTTTATTTTGTCTTTGAACTGTCAACATTTGTGGAATCTTTTTATTTTCTTCCAACTTGAGATCCAGTTTCTGATATTTTCCCCCATGCTTGGTTAGTTTCTTGTTCTCCAATAACTGAAGTTTGACATGCCCTATTTAAAATTATGCAGGATTTCCATATTTTTCAATGCTTGATGTAATGCTAAAATATAAAAATGCCATGTCAGTCTCCTTCCACAAAAAGTGGTCTCTCGATAGAGAACAAAATATTTCCTTCAATATTTTGAAGTACAACTACTCTAGAAATCTGAACAGTACATTAATGTTGTGAAGACAACTTATAAAATAGATTCTCACCAGAAGAGCAACAGTGACCACATTTCTTGAGGATAAATGAGATGTTGTTATCCTCCGCATAACACAAAATTGCTTTAACCTGAACTGGTATAAAATAATGAAACATTTCAGCAGTGTCATCACACTGAGCAGTGTTGTCTACATTTAAAAAACTCAATTAACTAAAAGGTAGGGCAATAATACAACAAATGATACTTCTCAGAGCATCTTATTTCCTTTTTTCATAATTTCTCTGTAATTTTCTAACTTTAAAAAATCTACTTCGAGGAAAAGGAAAAATATCTTTTATTCTTTATTTTTAATTTCTTTTTATTTTTATTTATCTATTTATTTATTTATTTATTTATTTATTTATTTATTTATTTTTTGAGACAGAGTCTTGCTCTGTCATCCAGGCTGGAGTGCAGTGGTGCAATCTTGACTCACTGCAACCTCCACCTCCTGGGTTAAAGTGATTCTCCTGCCTCAGCCTTCCCAGTAGCTGGGATTACAGGCATATGCCACAATGCCTGGCTAATTTTGTATTTTTAGTAAAGACGGGGTTTCATCATGTTGGCCAGGTTGGAAAAAAAAGGAAAATATTTACTAAACCTATAAGCATGAACATGACAGAGCATTAAATTATTTTTAATCATAAAATTTGGAAATAAATGTACTTTAAAACATGATTACAGCTTTGTTTATAATAGCAATATTTTGGAAATAGACTAACCATTCAACAACAAGAGACTCATAACATATTATGATAAATCCACACAGTGAAGGAATAGGCAACCATCAAAAGCATGGTGAATAAAAATATGTTGCAATTCCTCTAACTTTATCAGATTTCAAAAACATCATTTATGTAAATACGTATACACTCTTTTTAGTATAGTTTTAAATGTAGACAGAGACACAGTTATGTATATGTATTTATAAAATAGGCCAGGCCAAACGCTTTATATACATTATTTCTGGCGGTAGAGAATTGAAGCTGGGGAAGTTAATTAATTTGCTCAAGGTTACACAGCTACAGTATTAAGTTAGGATTCACCTCATGTTTGTCTGCCCTCTAGAGTGCTATGCCAAACTCCTTTGTAGAATAAGAAAAATTATAACAAGCAATGAAAACTTATTTTTAAGTAGAATAAATTAATGGAACATACATCTTAAAGGATAGACCAAAACTAAAACAAGACCCAACATTTTTCCTAATGGATAATAATGCAAATAAAGAAATGAATGAGAGAATAGTTGCACTTATTCTCTAACATATTTACTGATTTTATGTAGAGCCCACACTTTTGAATTCCTCTTACTGTGTGTTTCATCAGTATTGTGAGTTTATTCTTATACCTTATAGTGTTTCATCACTTTAAGTTTGTCAGTCCCTTGGGACATGATGCAGCTTTTAGTTTTAAGCAATTTTACCACATTGGATACTGGTGTCACAACTCTTAAGTTTTTATTAAACCTAGAGGGGAATCCCCAGTCTGCATTTTTAAAATGCAGATTAGATGCACAATTCAATGTACAAAGATTGTATAGTCAGTCTTAACAAATAGTAAGGAGGTAGGCAGTGGGACTCAACTTCGGGGATGGGGTTCGAACATTGGACCAAATTGAGACTAGTTAAAATGGGACGGAGTGGAAGCAGCTTTCTATAAATTCCATCCACCAGAGTTTGTCAGTTTACCATTGCCATGGCAACACCTGGAAGTTACTGCCTCTTTCTATGGCAATGACTAGATGACCCAGAAGTTGCTATCCATTTCCTAGACATTTCTGCATTATCTGCCCCTTAATATGCATGAAATTAGAAGTGAGTATAAATATGACTGCAGAACTGCCTTCGTGCTGCTACTCTGGGCACCCTGCCTAGCCCCACAAAGAGCAGTACCTCTGCTGCTGCTGTGTACTGTTGCTTCAGTAAAAGTTGCTGTGTAACACCACTGCTCAACCTTGAATTATTTCCTGGGCAAAGCCAAGAACCCTACTAGGCTAAGCCCCAGTTTTGGGACTCATCTGCCCTGCATCAGTAAGATGCTACATAGTGGATTAAATGTGCCTCTAGACTTGTGATTGCCTAAGCACAAGGTTGATCAAAACATGCAGTAGGAAAAATTAGCAAAAATACATGTAGAAGTAATTTAGCAAGCTTAATTTTGATTATATTTCACTTCTCAGCTTTATTATTGTTTATTATTGTCTTCTGTTGTCATTGTTACTTAACAATGAATGAAAATAAATTTGAATTGCCACATGTATGCCTTTCATAAATTTTTCAGCACTTAGCATGCAGAAACGTGGCTATATTGAGACTTACAATAGAAAGAAAAGTCCCAGTTTAACAAATTATACTTGACAAAATAATATTAAAACCGAGAATTTACAAGTAGGTTTATTTTCCTCCTCTCTTTTTTCAACATTTTCCCTCTTTGGTGACTTAGTGTAACCTGCCCATGCATATAGTGGTATACTACACATTAAAAATCCACCAAGTCCACATTTTGACTGCTATTTAAGGTTATTCAACAAGTTTAATACATTACCTTCGTCAATAGAAATATACGAGAAAAATGGTTCTTTTAAAATCATCAAAGTTATCAACTGTCATTTCTAAACCTTAGAAAACAAAATTTAAATTTCTGTTTGCTAATTTATCCCCTAGTTAGTCACTTTTTTTCTTTTTTTTTTTTTTTTTCTTTTTTTTTTCAGAGACAAGGTCTCACTCTGTTTCCCAGGCTGGAGTGCAGTGGTGTGATCATAGCTCATTGCAACCTCCAACTCCTGGGCTCAAGTGATTCTCCCACCTCAGCTTCGCTAGTAGTTGAGACTACAGGTGCCCACCAACATGCCCAGCTAATTTTTGTATGTTTTTGTAGGGATGGAATTTCACCATGTTGCACAGGCTGGCCTTGAACTCCTGAGCTCAAGTGATTCACCCACCTGGGCCTCCCAAACTGCTGTGATTACAAGCATGAGCCACTATGCTCAGCCTTTAGTCACTTTCTTTACATGTTGGCTCTTTTTTTTCATTAAGACCTGAAAGCACACAGCAAAATTAGGAAATTTAAAACTGAATATATATTCTTGGGAAGCTCTAAAATGATTCACAGCTGTTGTGCCCTAATATAGAATAGTTTTATTTTGCAGAACATTTATTATGTTGTTCATAATTTCCATACATATAAAGTGTACCACGTCTGGTGTGTTATTCACATTTTGCTATTGTTGGAGCAAATGTTTTAAATACTTAGGATTACAAACCCAAATGCTTGCAGGGGCCAGGCAGTACCACAAATGGTTTAAGAGCAGTTGCTTCAGGGGAGAGATGGGGAAAGGAATGAAGCAGAGGGTTCCTGTACCCATGTACAGGAAGCAGCTTCAATCTAGTTCTGGTCAATATTTGCATGAAAATTGACATAGAATGCAGGCCCAATTTAGCCACATCTTTAGATTCTTCAAGCAAAGCCAAATGTTCTCAGATGTTCTCATTTAATGCAATCAATTTTTAAATGTTAGTAACTAATTCATATTACAAATATTGCATAGTCCAAACCAAACATATCTGCGGGGCGGATTTGTCTAGTGAGTTGCTGTTTGTGTGTGTGTGTGTGAGAGTGTGTGTGTCTGTTTTGAACTCTTACCCCAGCACCACTAACTAAACAGGGAATCCTTTCCCCATTGCTTGTTTTTGTCAAGTTTGTCAAAGATCATACGGTTGTAGGTGGAAGGTCTTATTTCTGGGTTTTCTACTCTGTTCCATTGTTCTATGTGTCTGATTTTGTACCAGTACCATGCTGTTTTGTTTTCTATAGGCCTGTAATATAGTTTGAAATCAGAAAGCTCCAGCTTTCTGCTTTCTGCTTAGGACTGTCTTGGCTATTCAGGTTCTTTTTTTTTTCCCATATGAATTTTAAAATATTTTTTTCTAGTTCTGTGAAGAATACCAATGAGTTTAATGGGAAAAGCATTGACTCTATAAATTGCTTTGGGCAATATGGCCCTTTTCACGATACTAATTCTTCCTATCCATGAGCATGGAATGTTTTTCCATTTGTTTGTGTTCCTCTCTGATTTCTCTGAGCAGTGGTTGGTAGTTCTCCTGGTAGAGATCCTTCACTTCCCTTGTTAGCTGTATTCCTAGATATTTTATTCTTTTTGTGGCAATTATGAATGATAATTCATTTGTGATTCAGCTCTTGGTTTGACTGTCCATGTGTAGATATCCTAGTGATTTCTGCACATTAATTCTGTATGTTGAAACTTTGCTGAAGTTGCTTATCGGCTAGAAGCTTTGGGGCTAAAACAATGAGGTTTTCTAGATATAACATCAAGTCAGAAAATTGCAACTAGACCCCTCCCTTACTCCATATACAAATCAACTCAAGACAGATTAAAGACTTAAATTTAAAACCATAAACTTCAGAAATTCTAGAAGAAAACCTAGGCAATACCATTTGTGACCTGGGCATGGGTAAAGATTTCATGACAAAGATGCCAAAAGCAATTGCAATGTAAGCAAAAATTGATTAATGGGATCGAATTAAAGAGCTTCCGCATAACCATATACACTTTCAACAGAGTAAACAGACAACCTTCAGAATGAGAGAAAACTTTTACCAACAATGTGTACTGGTTTGTTTTCACGCTGCTGATAAAGACATACCCAAAACTGGGAACAAAAAGAAGTTTAATTGGACTTACAGTTCCACATGGCTGGAGAGGCCTCACAATCATGGTGGCAGGTGAAAGGCACTTCTTACATGGTGGTGGCGAGAGAAAAATGAGGAAGAAGCAAAAGTGGAAACTCCTGATAAACCTATCATATCTAATAAAACTTATTCACTATCACAAGAATAGCATGGGAATAACCGGCCCCCATGATACAATTACCTCCCTCTGGGTCCCTCCCACAACATGTGGGAATTCTGGGAGATATAATTCAAGTTGAGATTTGAGTCAGGACACAGCAAAACCATATCACCATGTATCTGACAAAGGCGTCATATTCAACATCTACAAGGAACTTAAAAAAATTTACAAGAACAGGACAAACAACCCTATCAAAAAGTGGGCAAAGAACATGAACAGACACTTCTCAAAAGAAGACATACATGTGGCCAACAATCATGAAAAAAAGCTCAACATCACTGGTCATCAGAGAAATGGAAATAAAAACCACAATGAGATACCATCTCATGCCAGTCAGAATGGCTATTATTAAAAGTCAAAAAAATAACAGATGCTGCTGAGGTTGTAGAAGAAAAGGAACACTTTTACACTGTTGGTGGGAGGGTAAATTAGCTCCATCATTGGGAAGACAGTGTGGTGATTCCTCAGAGACCTAGAGACAGAAATACCATTAGATCCAGCAATCCCATTACTGGGTATATACCCAAAGAAATATAAAACATTCTACTGTAAAGATACATGCATGCATATATTCATTACAGCAGTATTCACAAAAGCAAAGACATGGAATCGACCCAAATGCCCATCAAGCATAGACTGCATAAAGAAAATGTGGTACATATACGCCTTGGAATACTATGTGGCCATAAAAAGGAATGAGATTATGTCCTTTGCAGGGACATGGATGGAGCTGGAAGCTGTTATCTTCAGCAAACTAATACAAGAACAGAAAACCAAATAATGCATGTTCTCACTTATAAGTGGGAGCTAAATGATGAGAACACATGGATACACAGAGGGGAACAACACACACTGGGGCCTACTGGAGGGTGGAGGGAGGGAAGGGGGAGAGGATCAGGAAAAATAACTGATCAATACTAGGCTTAATACCTGGGTGATGACATAATCTGTACAACAAACCCCCATGACACACATTTACTGATGTAACAAACTTGCACATCCGGCACATGTACCCCTGAACTTAAAATAAAAGTTAAAAAAAAAAAAAGAAAATCACTGCACTAGACTAATACTTATCAGCCTTTTGGAGCTATGGTTGCCCCTTGATAAAAGGGCTGAGTAGCTCAATAAGAAAAGGACCTGGAAGACCAAAAAGAAAACAAACAAACAAAAAAACAACAAGAGCAACAATAGAACTGATTTAGTAACAGTTTGCAAGGATAACATAGCAGGGTTTAAGTCAGTATTCTACCTTAGTATTTTTTAAACTTAAGTTCATAGATAGGCAAAACTGGATACATAGCATTGATCCAATGCAACAGGATATATTTCAATGAAAATAAACATTGACTGCTTAAGTATTTGTTCAAGAAAATATGATTGAGGCACTTCCTACAAACAAAGTCACTAAGGAAGTTGACCAGGAGGAGTTTGGCTAGAAAGTAAAGGAAACAGGAACAGATCGATCTCCAAAGTAATGGAGAACCTTAAAATAATAGATATTTGTTGACAGGAAAGCTTTGAGCTGACAAATTCTAAAATACCCATTACAGCATATTAGCTAGATTAAGGGAGGGAAGTGATTAGGAAATATTTACATATCAGTTACTATGCAACTTATTTTAAGTAGGCTCTTATTGTGTAACCTTTTATTATGAAATTAAATTTCTGTAAAAGTTTATTTCCTTAGAAGGGCAAAGTTTTGCTGAAATTGTGAAAGTTTTCTTAAATTCTTCCTAGATAAGTCTGAATGTTACAATAAATTACATTTGTTAAAATATTTGTTGTAGAAAAATGTTTGTACTCACTTGAAAGTCTAAACTATGTTTTCCACAGTGGTTGATTTTATCCACAAACAATTTGGATAATTAATTCACTATGACATCTCTGATCTAGCTTTAATTAACTCAATCTGTATAAAGATACTGTGGAATTTTTTTAAAATTAGGAGCATAGTTAATAGTATATTTCCTCTTATAAATAAATATTAGTGACATCTAGTAAGTTTACAAAATAACTTTCAAGTACAATGCTTAATCCCTATTTGTCATGACACGTAAAAGGTTGATACACACTAAACATATGATGACGTGATTCAAAAGCAAACAGGATTTTGACTATTCTAATAGAGATTTGTATAAAGATGATGGGGTAACAACACTAAATTATCTTCTGGAAAACTCTTAAAGATTATGTTCAATTCTGGCAAATATATTGTAAGGGAAACATTAAGTGGTAAAAGTGTATTCCTAATGACTGACTTCCCTCCTTTCCCTTCCTCCCTTCCTCTCTCTCTCTTCTCTCTCTCTCTCACACTCTTTCTTTGTTTTCTTTTTTCTTTTTAGTATTCCTTTCAAAATCCATCATGCATTCCCAAACAGAATAGGTTAAAACCATGAACCAACTCTGGCCAGAACATGGCACCCTCTTAGATTTGCCATTTTGCTATACATATGATTTTCAACAAGATAATTAATTGCCCTATGCTATAATTTCTTCATCTGTAAAATAAGAGAAAGTTTTTGATGGTATAATTGTTGTAAAGATTAAATGAGGTTGTATATTATATACATATATACACACACATACACATATATATGTATAGATACAAAAAATAGATCAGCAAAGTTCTTGGTTTATAATAAATGTTCAAAATACAATACTATTAATATTAGTATTTTTGCTATTCTATTATTATTATATTGCTATAATAACTTACAGGTAGGTAACTGGAGTTTCTAACAGTTGTTAGACTTTTTTCGCACAGGAGATTGAGTCTTAAGAGAATTTGCTAGTTAAGTTACCACATTTTCAATACATTCAAAAATTAATATTAGAATGATCGACCATCTTCATTTAGGTACTCAATGAAGAATTGTAAATATTAATCCTACAAAGCCAAAGGACTTCGCAATGTTTTTACCCAGATAAACTGACCTTGAGGCTGTTTCCATTCATATGGTTTTGATGGTAACATCACCTTGGTAACTGTGAGACTGTGGGCTAAGGACATTTTGCTTTACTAGATTTAAGTTTAATGGTGATCATTAATGAAGCCATCAAACAATTACAGACATGCAACAATGACATAATGTGAAACATATATTTTGAGTTTTATGTTAACAATGGACATTTTACTTGGTTATTCTCAGCATAAATTTATAAAAATGAGTTTGAAGTGGCTTAACTTAAACAATTATAGTTGTCAAAGAACATGAACATGTCGAACACCGTATGCAACTTTTAGGAAATAGTTTTAGCAAACATTTATCTCCAGGATTTATTTAAAGATTATTTCAGGTGAAATGAGGGGCTCAACATATTACAATCCATCTCTTAATTCACTTTCTCGAATTCCCTAAATTGAAATTTTTATTTTGTTTCATTTCTCTTGGCTTTCCTATGCAAGATAACATGTGTATTTTATTTTATTTTATTTTATTTTTATTTAATCCCGTTTTATAATTTTAAGTTCTTTTTTTTTTTTTTTTGAGACAGGTCTTACTCTGTGGACCAGGCTGGAGTGCAGTGGCATGATTGTGGCTCAGTGCAGCCTCTACCACCCGGGGTCAGGCAGTCCTCCCTTCTTAGCCCCCTGGGTAGATGGGACCACAGGCATGCACCACCATGCCCGGCTAATTTTTTGTATTTTTTGTAGAGATGGGGTTTCACCATGCTGCCCAGGCTGGTCTCAAACTCCTGGACTCAAGCGATCCTCCTGCCATGGCCTCCCAAGGTGTTCGAACTGCAGGTGTAAACCACTGTGCCCAGCCTCAATATACGTATTCGAGTATGATTTTTCTGTTTAGAGTTTAGGAGGCAACAGGAAGGGGTAGGTACAAAATTGATTAGACAATATTCTGCATCTCTCCAAAGAGGCTGCCAAGCTCTCTCTTTTTTATTTTCTTTCATTGTATCTGACTTACACATAGTTACTTAAATCTTATTTCATTTTCTCCCAGGAGGTATTACAGTTTTTACAGTAGCATTCACTAAGGCCTTCTTCTATGCCAAAGAAATGAATTGACTGAATACATTCCAATGGAGTCAGAAAACACCAAAGCATAGGTGGTTTATCACATCCAAGAAGATTTTATATTTTAATAAATATTTTCAAACATCCAACAATTTCAAAAAAATTATATTAAATTGATACTTAAATAACTTTAATTTAAACTTTAATTTAAAATGTTATATGACCTTGACTTAATGAATGCCCATTGTAGAAAATGTCGTCTAACAAACTGAAGTTCTTTTCTGGTGGGAAACATGAAAGAACAATAATTAGAAGGATTAGCAGTTATTTTATATTTTTTAAAGCAGTGGATGTAATTGATAATAGTGTAATTATTAACTAAAAGGGAAAGAAGACAATTATTCCCTTTACTTTCATTTCATTATTCTGCATTTCTCTTATCCCAACACTATTGGTATTAGAGTAGGGCACTAAAAAGTAAGCAAAAAGATGCAGTGCCCTAAATGTTATTATATATATAGGTAGATAGATCAGTGCACTGCACGGCATCATTTGAAGTCTATAGGGCAGTGCTTCTAAGACTGCTGTGAAAAAGCACCAGCTTGTGATTGTTGTTTAATTTCCTATCAGTTGCGATGTGATACTTTTGTAAATACAAGAATTACTAGAAAAATGTTATCACACATGGATGACACAACAATGTCAAACTGTTAAAAACAGTTTCTAAATGGTCATTCTTCATTTCTGTGTGCATCACATTGCAGATAAGCAATGAACAATTCTTACACTGGCAGCAGCTGGTGGACCATTTTTGAGTGAGGAATATAAATATCCGATAAATAAATAAATTCTAGTAATCAAGATTGCATGTTCCATAACCCATTTAAAAAGGAAAAACTTCTTCGAAAGAAAAAAATAAACTTCTTATCACTAAAAAATAAACAAATTGATAGCTGCATATGCAAAGATAACATCATATAAGGTAACACGATATTTTATTGCTCATTAAAATATGTGACAACTTAAAAAAGTGATTGCTTGACTTTCATCTATTTTGTAGCTGGGCAAACGATCCTAGAGAGGATAAAATAGCTTCCTGAATTTGAATCCAGATTTTTGGTAATTCACCACACCCCCCAGGATCTTTTCTATTCCTCGCTCCACTGACTGTTGACTCTTGATAAATAGTCACCCATAAGCTGATTACAGTATTCTCATTTTACTGTAAAATTTCTGTCAGCTTCCACTCAGCGCCTCCACCCTATGTCACACAAAGTTAAAAGATGAAATGACTGGCATTCAAAGGAAATCTTACTTCTGAAAGAATTGATAAGTTTTCAAACCAAGCCAATGATAATCAAAGTTTACTTAAAATCATGTCCTAAAAAACAAAAATAAAGTACTGAGGTTTTTCTCCTGATGGGATGGCCCTTCACAGTCTGAATGTTCGTGCTAAAATCAATAAGGATTTTATTTTATTATTTTTTATTTCACAGTCTTTCTTGATTTTTTAAAAAACATGAATTCAGGACTGAGCTCTTTCAAAAGACATCTGCTTTTGATCGCATGCTATCTGATTACTGAAAAAGAAAGATAAAATATGCATTTAAAATGTGTTTAAAAGATTCTCGAGGGTTGTTGTAATGAAATATTTCTTGTAGTTGGTGCCAGCAAAGGAACTACTCTCATATGAAAATAAAATCTACAATAAAGTAGTTGCAAGATGTAAATCTCCCAAATGGTAGCAGTATTTGTATGAGTAAGATGACGAGTGACCTGATCAATAGGTTCCAAGGATTAGGCATTGTGTTGGTTCATTCATTTCAGTGCAGTACTAGGAAGCATATGCGGGAAAAATAACGTAGAACTTTAACCAAGAGAAACTCTTAGACTTGACCAGGGGATATTTCTTTAAGTTATCAGTGGAATTCCTTTGAAAACGAGAAAAATGGCTTGACCTAGTTAAATACATGTGAGCAGAATTAGGGACTACTGAGTATTAGGACAAGAAGATAGTATATTTGAGTACGTATTTCATGCCTCTGGTGTGTTTGAAAGCAGTCATGGGAGGGACAGGAGACTTTAATCTTTAAGAGCATTATTTCTTCATAAATGTAGTATTGCCTAAAGTGATACATTGTTATTACAAATTGAAAGTGTATACTTTGATTTAATAAGTCATTTTGCCTAAAACTGAAGTTAAAGACACTAGAGAAGGTATCTATAACAAGTAGAAAGATCTAATTTCCTTAAAATTCCACATAGATACTTTTCAGGATGATTGCTATTGTGAAGGAGCCCAAATTCCCAGCTTTCTCTGAAACTTTGTTTAACTCTGCAGTTCTTCAGATGAGACTGACATTCTTCTTCTTTCACATTCATTGAGCACCCATAAACTGACAGGGTTTGCAGCAGATTTCTTGCAGGGATGAAGATGGGTACATTCCACATCTAGAAGTCCCCTATCCCCAAGATAAAAATTACATAGCTGGCTTCACTCCACAAATAAACCAAGAATGATTCCTTGGCCTAGAACAAATTAAATGGAAAATGAGCCTATTATTCAATCTCCAAATTCAGAAAGTGTAATATATTTGCTTAAATGCAGTCTTAAATCCAGACACATAGAACCTCTATTGATTATATGTGAGAAACGATTATCCTTAGAATATATCAAAAGCTAGAAATCCAAGAATATGGATATATACAGTCATATTGAGTGATTATATGTTTTCCAGTGATGCTGTCTTTGCTCAAAATCATGTCACTTCTTTTTTGAAAACAGATTTTCATAGCATGTTATTTAAGTATTTTTTAATGATCCAAATAATTTTTCCTGGAGTATTTTACTTATTTTTGAAAACAATCTAAAGTTATTCAGAGCTAAAATGTGAGTGATTTAGAAGACACAGCATATGGTTGAGGCTTACAAAAATTATATTTGTGGTAAGACTATTTAAGCTTATAGGTCACAGAGACAATTGCACAAGAGGGACTTTATAAACACATGGGATAATGGCCACAGAATGTGAAAACATCTATAACCTATTATGGCTATTTTTCTGAAGCACATGCTTCATTTGTGCATTTAAACTTACATAAAAGGATTATTTAATCCCTCATTAATTTAGAGAGATATGGACAAATGTGCATAAAGCCTACAGATATCATGGGTGTGATAAAACAGAAACTTCTATCACTTATTTTGAAGTTTTTAAGAAAATTCTGATTTGCCAAGAAATGATGTATCCCCAAACCAACTAGGTATTTTCTGAGAGAATTTTGAACTCTGGTGAAAATGACCAGAGTGGTACTACGCTATAACTTAAAGTCCCCCATTCTTAACAAAGAACACACATTAGCTAGAACTCAGACAAAAGAATTAGAAACTTCAAGTAGAGATTCAAATGCAAAATGGTAACCACTGCCTATATTGGTGGTTTTAAGTTTCGGTCAAGCTAGAGAGTCAAAGAATTAAAAATTACAATTAAATCGCCTTTTCAGTTTACCAGAACATTTCCAAGAGGATGTGCAAACTCCTGTTGAATTTGGAGATATGCTACTAAAATTAGTATACTTTAAAAATACACATTTAAAGGGTAAATTTATATTAAATATTCCTATATTTTAAAAAATGTAATTAAAAAAATTGTTTTGAGATCTTAGGGTAGTTGAAAAGTCTCAAATTACAAAACAATGTCTACCGTAATTATAATAATAAATCCAGTATTTGCAAGTACTATGAAGATATGGTTAGAATAAAAGTTCTACTTTGTTTATCAGTAGACTAGTACCCAGTTATGTTAGAAATTGCAGTATAACAGATATATCTGATTGCTTAATGTAATTAATTTAAATTCACTGCTACTCGACGAAATTTTTTGTAGAGATCAATACTTGCAGAATGCAAAAGATCAATAGTACATTTCTACAATGGCCAGTAACCAGCTGATTTTTTTTTAAATCGTATTTGATTACATGCTGATTGAAAGTACAGCACAAGCCAAATCCATTAAGATCCATGTACCTCAGATTTACGCTGGAGCAATCATCATTTAGAGGTCTGGGAGAGGAGAAGAAACCAGCAAAGGAGATTAAGAGCATCCAGAGACAGAGGATAAAAACCAGGAGAAAGTGATGCTCTGGAAGTCAAGGATGAAAGCGTTTCAAGGAAAACGAATGTTAACTGGCATGAAATGTTGCTGATGAGTGAAATGTGGAATGGAATAATGGATTCAACATTGTGGAGAGATTGGTGATCTTGATGAGATAGCTTGATAAAGAGTTGATGGAGGTAACCTGACTAGTGTGAGTTCAGGAGAATATGGGAGAGCATTAATTCTTTGATTAGTTCTGCTGTAAAACAAATAAATGGAGTGGTAACTACAGATGAAAGTGGGGTAAGTAGAATAATATTTTAAGGTGGAAGAAATTATAGCATATTTAAGTGATGATGAAAAACATTTGATAGAGGGTGTGAAAATACAAATTTCAAAAAGTTAAAAAAAGTTATCCTCAAACAAATGATTGTCAACTCTTTATTTAACTTATTAATGAGAAAATCAGTAGGTGGTAAAGAAGATTTAGAAAAAGATAGGAGTTTAGAAATAAGAATGTAGGAACAAGATTGCAAAATTATATAAAAAACTGACTGATACCTTACAGCAACTGACCTATTATTACCTTTGGGATCATTTTTTTTCCCTGGGGGATAGAAATAATGTGTATCTTTACAGATGAAATAATTTGAAATTTATCAATTCACAAGTTCATGTCTAATTTTACAGGTTTGGGGATATAACCAATGTAGATAGTAAATCTAACAAAATTACAGGCCTGAAGTTTACTGATTTTATGTTATTTTAAAATGCACCAAATATCAGATCAATTAATGGATGAAAAGTAAAGTAGATTGATAGATTGATAGGTGAGAAAACAAGCATGGTAAAATATTATCAATTTGGTCATGAGTTGTTCAATGTAAGATTCTTTTAATCTGCAATATGTTTGAAAAGTTTTAAATAAAAATTTTAGGAAAAATACCAAAGAGCTTAGAGAAAATGCCAAGGATTAAATAGCTCCTAAGTAAAATTCTTAGAAAGTACTCTAGTACTACTTTAGGAGAGCACAAAATAATCTTCTTGCCTTATCTCAAAGTTTGAATTCTTTTTTGTTCGTAACAGAGGAAAATAATAATGTAGAACAAAGAGGGGAGAGTTGCTGGACTAATGGTCTAAGGCAAGCAACAGAAGAAATTCTATGCACAAGAAATGTGTTGGCCTTAGCCAGAACCATCAGTCATTCAGAGTATTCCAGGAAAGCAGAGTGTTTGGCAAGAAGAGGATAGTTCAGGGTACATAGTGGTAGAGGTTTATGGACATTCTCTTCTGAGTGCTTCTGCTGGAAGCCAGAACTGAGATTTGAGAAAGGGAGACTTAAAATAGTCAGTTGAGAACATGGCAGAGCACGAGTTGTGTGTGTTTCTCCACCTGTGTTCACTTGTGCAGGTGCAGGTGTGGTTTGGCAGCAGGTTGTATTTGAACAAGGGTATGGTTTTATCAGGTGAAAATGATTGAGTGCAAATGCCTTTGTAGTTCAAGGGAAACAGTCTTTAGTCTGTATTGGTAAGTTTTATGAAATCATTATAAGAAATAAAATATTTTTTACCTAGAAAGAAGTTAATTCAAGTAAAAATTGAGTTGTATGAGTGCAGGAATCCAGCTTTCCATTTCAATTATTCAGTTTACATTTTTGAAGTGATTCTTTGCTCTGGAAAATTAAATAGTGAGTCTTTCTGCTTAAGGACACATGTTTGGACATAGTTTCTACACTTCTCAAATAGTGCTTTTTTTCTTTTCCATTAATAATAGTAAGAGCACATTGAAAAGCTTGGTTTAGCAAACAATACAAATAGTTATGTATTGTTCTGGGGATGCAATAATAATCATAGGAACTGAGCTCTCATAATTGAAGGCACATTAATAAACCCTTAAAATTTAGCCCACAAGTAAGACAAGAAAATATTCATAATGGAATTTTATATTGGGTTATCAAAATATGTTTCATGAAACTTTGCATTTTAAGTGACTTTTTTTAAAGCTCTGATTAGCTTTTAATTTCAATCTGAAAAATTATCACTTGTTGCACTTTCGCCTAAAAAATCACCCTACGTTACAATGTTAACTCATATCAAACTTTCTGCTCTTAAATGCATGCATTTAACTTCTTGTTACTTACTTAAAAAAATCACCTCATGCAAGTTTAATGAAAAATTAATTATGGTTTTCTACCAGTATACTTAGACAAATAGTAATTGTATTATTGGTCTATCTTTTTTTCTGTTTCTCTGAAAAGTTGTGTTCCTCAAATGAATAATTACCTACAGAATAATTAAATGTTGCTGATATCGTCTGCTCATCCCCCTTGTACATAAAAACATCACATTCTGTCTTCTTGGAAATCTATCTCTGTCATGTTGTATAAGTTTACTGTCCATCACACAACTGGCATCGATCCCTACTCAATTACACAAGAACATAGCACTATATTAAAAGACAAATAAGGTTTAATTTTAATTATTGACAGTCTGTGAGTCCATGTTCCATTACAGATTAAAAGAACCAATTGTTTTTAAAAATAAAGCTCTAATGGGAAGTATTATGAATACATAGACAACATGGATCTGTACAATCTAAGCGACACTCTCAGGAGAAGTGTGTAAGTCCTTTAGACCATCATAAACATGGTTATTGCTTTTCTTTGAAAACAAGACTCTTGCAGTACCTGGGAAATTATGACAACATTGGATTATCTGCACTTCTAACTCTGACACACTTAAGAGTGAAGCAGCTATTTGGACATGTAGGTTACTCAGTGTGGTGATAACATCGGGCTTTGCTAAAATCATGGCAGAAATGTGATGGGGTCTTCCTCTCAGAAGTTCTTGAGAGGGACAAGATTACATTAAGTGGCAAAGGCAAGGACAAGAAGGCAGCAAATCCTGGTAAAAGTTCTCAATTTATAGAACTTGTAGACCTCTTACAGGGTGGTCACTATTGAATGTGCATGAGTATGCTTGAACTCCAAAAGGATCAAACATCTCCATGAATTCCAAGCCAGGACAGCTGAGTCTCTCTGACCTGAGCACTGGAAGAGTGCCAATCTAAAGGATGACAACTCTACAAAACTCAGTGTCAAAGGAATGTTATTCCTTCCACCATACACAGGATAACTGCAATGTTAGACACTCCCACAACAAGAATTGAGCTTAGGCCGGCCGCGGTGGCTCACGCCTGTAATCCCAGCACTTTGGGAGGCCATGGCAGGAGGATCACGAGGTCAGGAGTTCGAGACCAGCTTGACCAACATGGTGAAACTGCGTCTGTGCTAAAAATACAAAAATTAGCCTGGCGTGGTGGCGGGTGCCTGTAGTCTCAGCTACTCAGGAGGCTGAGGCAGGAGAATGGCGTGAACCCGGGAAGCGGAGCTTGCAGTGAGCCGAGATTATGCCACTGCCCTCCAGCCTGGGCTACAGAACAAGGCTCCGTCTCAAAAAAAAAAAAAAAAAAAAAAGAATTGAGCTTAGTGAGTAACAGAACAACAGACTATCTCAGGAATCCCAATAGCAAGATAAAAATCAGAATAATCACAATGCCAAGTCAAACAGAACTGCTGGAGTGCTGGAGGAGCAAGACAAACACCTAGAAACAACTAAATATATATTCTTCATATATAAATATGTATAAGTGTGTGTATATATATATACATATATATATATATATAGAGAGAGAGAGAGAGAGAGAGAGAGAGAGTACTTTAGGAAGTTAAAATACAACATGCATATACACACATTCACACACACTCATACTTCCTCAACTCCCCCCGACTGGTCTTCCTGTCTTTAATTTTTTAAATCATCTTTATTGAGATGTAAATGATATAGAATAAACTGCATACACTTAAAGTATATGATTATTATACAGTGGCAAAACCATCATCATAATCAACAAAATAAACATGTTCGTCATTTCCAAAAGAGTCTTTGTGCCCTTTGGTAACATCTACATCTCACTCTTACCAAACACTTTTTCCCTCCACACTCCGTTCCTGGACAACCAAAATGTAATACATTATGTACTCTCTTTTTCCTGGCTTTTTAAATTAAGCATAATTATTTTTAGATTCATTCATGTTGTTGTATGTATAAATAGATGATGTTCCTTAATATTTATTTATTTATTTATTTATTTGAGACAAGATCTCGCTCTGCCACCCAGGCTGGAGTGCAGTGGTGCAGTCTCAGCTCACTGCAACCTCTGCTTCCCCTGCTCAAACGATCCTCCTGCCTCAGCCCCCCAGGTAGCTGGGACTACAGGCACGCACCACCACTCTTGGCTAATTTTTTTGTATTTTTGGTAGAGACAGGGTTTCACCATGTCCAGGCTGGTTGCAATTTTTAATTTTTTAAATAAAAAAAGGTAAATTTATTTAAAAGTGAAGACATTTTTATTATCATTTTTAATAGGCACATAATAATTGTGTTTCGTTATGTGGTATAGTGTGATATTTTAACACGTTTACAATGAAAAAATGATCAAATCAAGGTAATTAACATATTTTTTACCTGAAACATGTATCATGTATCATGAAAATCCTCTCTTCTAGCTCTTGAAAATATATAATAAATTTTTATTGTTAATCATAGTCACATTACAGGGCTATAGAACACTAGAACTTTTTCCTCCTATCTAGCCGTATAATTTTGTATTCAATATCCAGCCTCTCCCTATACTCATCTCTCCCTTGCCCTTCCTAGCCTCTAGTAGCAAATATTCTACTCTTTACTTCTATGAAACCCAATTTATTCACTGCAACAAAAGAGTGAGAACATGCAGAATTTATTTATCTGTGCCTGACTTATTTCACTTTACTCGATATCGTCCAGGTCCACTGACGTTGCCACAAATGACAGGACTTCATGCTTTCTTATGGCTGAATAGTGTTTCCTTGTGAATATATACCACCTTTTCTCTATCCATTCATCTGTGGATGGACATCTTAGCTATTGTGAATAGTGCTCTGATAAACATGAGGGTGCAGCTACCTCTTTGATAGCTGTCTCTTTGATAGTGACTTCCTTTCTTTTGAATATATACTCAGTAGTGGAATTGCTGAATCATATCTTAGTTCTATTTTTCGATTTTAGAGGAACCTCAAAACTTTTTTTCATAATAGCTGTATCCATTTACATTCCCACCAACAGTGTGTAAAACTTCCCCTTTCTTCACATCCTCACCAACATTGGTTATTTTTTATCTTTTTGCTAATAGTCGTTTTAACTGAGGTAAGATGATTTCTCATGGTAGTTTTTATTTGAATTTCTCTGATTATTAGTGTTGTTAAGCATTTCCCCCCATAAACCTGTTATCAATTGGTATGTCTCCTTTTGAGAATGTCTATTTAGAACATTTGGTCATTTTTTAAATTGGATTATATGTTTGTTTGAAGTTTGAGTTCCTTGAATATTCTGGATATTAGTTTCTTGTCAGATAAATAATCTGCAAATATTTTCTCCTGTTATGCAGGCTGTCTTTCCACTCTGTTGATCATTTATTTCGCTGTGCAGAGCTTTTTTAGTTTGATATAGTTTCATTTGTCTATTTTTGTTTTTGCTGCCTGTGCTTTCAGAGTCTTGCCCATAAAATCTTTGCTCAGACCAATGTCTGGAAGTATTTCTCCTATGTTTGTTCCAGGAGTTTCATAGTTTGGGTCTCACATTTAAGACTCCACCTATTTGATTTCATTTTTTGATATGGTGACAGATAGGGGTCTAGTTTCATTTTTCTGCATATTGATATCCAGTTTTCCTAGCACCATTTATTGAAGATACTGTTTTCTTCCCCCAATGTATGTCCTTGGCACCCTTGTCAAATATCAGTTGGTTGTGAATAGGTAGATTTATTTCTGAGTCCTCTGTTCCAGTCCATCTATGTCTGTTTCTATGTCAGTACCATGCTATTTTGTGACAACAGCTTTGTAGTACATTTTAAAGTCAGATAGTGGGATGCTTCCAGCTTTGCTCTTTTTGCTCAGGATTGGTTTGGCTATCTGGGTTCTCTTGTGGTTCCATAAAAATGTGGGGATTGTTTTTTTATTTCTGTGCAGAGTGTCATTGGTATTTTGATAGGGATAGTATTCAATCTGTAGATCACTTTGGGTAATATGGTCATTTAAAAAATTAATTCTTCCAATCCACAAACATGGGATGTCTTTTTATTTTGTGTGTGTGTGTGTGTGTGTACTCTTTTTTACCAATATTTTATAGTTTTCATTGTAGAGATGTTTCTCTCTCGGTTAAATTTTTTCTAGATAATTTATTTAGTTTGTAGCTATTGTAATGGGATTGCTTCCTTGATTTTTTTATCCATTTTGTTACTGGTATATAGAAACGCTACCCATGCTTATATTTTGATGCATCTTGCAACTTTATTGAATTCACTTATCAGTTCTAAAAGTTTTTTGGTGGAATCTTTAGTTTTTTCTCTATATAAGACCATGTTGTCTATAAACAGTAACAATTTGTCTTTCTCCTCTCCAATATGGATGACCTTTGTTTCTTTCTCTTGCCTAATTGCTCTCTCTAGGACTTCCAGTTCTACATTAAATAAATGTGGTACAAGTGAGTATCCTTACGTTTTTCTAGTTCTTGGAGAAAAACCTCTCAACTTTTTCCAGTTTAGTATGATGCTAACTATGGATTCGACATCTATGGTCTTTATTGTGTTGCTTCTATACCTAATTTGTTGAGAGTTTTTTTATCATGAAGCAGTGTTAATTTTTATCAAATGCATTGCCTGTATCTATTGAGATTATCGTATAGCTTTTGTCTTTCATTCTATTGATGTGGTATATCACATTTATTGGTTTTCATATGCTGAAACACCCTTGCATCCCTTGCATGAATCTCGTTCATCATGACATATTATTTTTTGATATGTTATTGGATTTGGTTTGTTAGTATTTTGTTGAAAATTTTTGCATCTATGTTCATCAGGGATATATGTCTGTAATTTTTTGTGTGTGCCCTTTTCTGGTTTGGGTACTAGGATAATGCTGACATTGCTGCATGAGTTTGGAAGAAATTCCTCCTCTTGTATTTTTTGGGATAGTTTGAGAAGAATTGACATTAGTTATTCTTAAATGTTTGGTAGAATTTACCAGTGAAACTATCCAGCCCTGTGCTTTTTTTTTGTTGTTGTTGTTGTTGGGAGACTTTTGTTTCTGATTCACCCTTGTTACTCATTACTGATTTATTCAGTTTTCTGTTTCTTCCTGGTTCAGGCTTGGTAGGTTGTATGTGTCCAGAAATTTATCAATTTCTTCTAAGTTTTCCCTTTTGTTGATGTATACTTGTTCATAATAATCCTAACTATCCTTTCTATTTCTGTGGTATCAGTTATAATGTCTCCTTTTTTACTCCTAATTTTGTGTATTTGGGCCTTACCTCTTTATCTTATCTAATGGTTTATAGATTTGGACTATCTTTTTAAAACCAATTTTTGTTTCACTGATCTTTTGTAACGTTTTTCTATTTTGTTTAGCTTTGCTCTGATCTTTATTATTTCTTTCCTTCTACTAATTTTCAGTTTAGTTTCCTTTTCTCTAATTCCTTGAGAAACTTTTCTAGTTTCCAGGCCTTGAGGCATTGTTAGGTTGCTTATTTGAAACCTTTCTACATTTTGATGATGGCATTTATTGCTATAAACTTCTCTGTTAGCACTGCTTTTGCTGTAATCCCATAGGTTATGCTATGTTGTGTTTCTATATTCATTTGCTTCAATAAATTTTTTAATTTCCCTTCTAATTTCTTCATTGACCCATTTGTCTTTCAGGAGCATGTAATTTCCAAAGTTGCATTTGTAAAGTTTCCAAAATTTCTCTTCTTATTGATTTCTACTTTTATTCCATTGTGGTTTGAGAAGATACTTGATAGGACTTTAATTTTTAAAAATTTGTTGATACTTGTTTTGTGACCTACGTTTTGTGGCCTAGGATATGGTCTATCCTAGATAATGTTACATGCATTGCTGAGAATAATATGTATTTTGAGCCATTAGATGAAATGTTCTGTAAATGTCTGCTCAGTCCATGTGGTATGTAGCACAATTGAAATCTAATGTTTCTTTCTTGATTTTGTCTAGATGACATATCCAATGCTGAGTGTGTGGTGTTAAAGTTCCCAAGAGTTACTATATTAGGGTGTCTCTCTCTCTCTTTAGAGCTAATATTTGCTTTTTATATCTGATTGACTAGTGTTGAATGCACATATACTTAATGATTTTGATATCTTTTTGCAAAATTGATGCCTTTATTATTTATTAACTTTATCTCTTTTTTACAGTTTTTACCTGAAGCTTATTTTATTGCATGTAAGTAAAACTACTCTTGCTTGGCTTTAGTTTTAATTTAGGTGGAATATGTATTTCCATTTCTTAACTTTTGGCCTATGTATTTACACAGGTAAGTGAGTTTCTTATAGGCAGCATATAGTTCATTCTTACTTTTAATATCCATTCAGCCAGTGTATATCTTTTAATTGGGGAATTTATACAATTTACATTCAAGGTTATTATTAATGAGTTGAGGACTTACTCCTGCCATTTTGTTAATTTTTTCTGGTTGTTTGGTATATCTTTTTAAAGAATTCTCTCTTATTTATGTTTGTGGTTTGGTGGTTTCCTGCAGTGATAGGATTTTATTCCTTTCATTTTCTCATTTGTATATTTGCTCTAAAGTGAGTTTTTTTTTTGTAGGGGGTTCATGATGGTGGTTATCATCTTTTCACTTTCAGATGTAGAACTACCTTAAGCATTTTTGTAAGTCTGGTCTAGTGATGATGAATTCTCTGAGTTGCTATTCTGAGAAAGACTTTATTTCTTCATTTCTGAATAATAGCTTACTGGGTATCATATTCTTGGCTTACAGGTTTTATTTTTCTTCCATTACTCTGAAGATATCATCCCATTCTCACCTCATCTGTAAGGTTTCTGCAGAAATTTGCTGTTAGTCTAATGGATATTCCTTTATGAGTGACTTGACACTTTTGCTGTTTTAGAATTCTCTTTTTGTCATTAACTTTTGATATTTTCAATATAATGTGCCTAAGAGAGGACATTTTTGTACTGAATATATTTGGGGAACTTTGAGCTTTCTGTATCTGTATATCCATATATTTCCTAAGACTTGAGTTTTCAACTGTTATTTCATTAAATAGGTTTTTTATGCCATTTCCCATTGCTTCTCCTTTTGTTGCTCCTATAATACGAATATGAGTTCTCTTAATGGTGTCCAATAACTCCATTGGCTTACTTTGTTATTTCTTTTTTTTTCTATTTTGTATGATTTTTTTTAAACTTGTCTTGAAGTTCAGAAATTTTTTCTTCTGTGTCATCTATTCTGTTGCAGCTCTCAATTATATCTTTTAATTTCATTAATTGAATTATTTAGCTCCAACAATTCTGTATGGTTCTTTTCTATATCTATCTCTGTTGAATTTCTCTTTCAGATTATACATTGTTTTCCTGATTTTGTTGAATTGTTTATCTGTACTCTTCTGTATCTCGAAATATTTCCTTATGATGATTATTTTGAATTTCTTTTCAGGCATATTATAGATTTTCTTTTCTTTGGGGCCTATTATTGGAGAATTAGTTTCTTTAGAGATTTTTTTTTTTCTTAATGTGAGTGTATGTGTGTATTCCTATCTTGATACCTGCACATCTGGTGGAATTGTCACCTCTTCAAATTATATTGGATAGCTTTTGTAAGGAAAAGCTTTTTCCTGTAGTTGTATCCTATGGTGTTGGATGAGTAAGGTACTTTGGCTTTGGTTCTGAGTTGGTGCATTATTATAGTCCTGTGCGATTTATTCATCTGTAATCAATATTAGCAGTATCTGTGAGTGGCTCAGTGGCCTAGACTGATGGTGTTTGTGGTGGCAGTGGCTTGGCTTTACTGTGGGCAGGGGCTGCTGGGTGAGATGATTCTTTGTCACTACGGAGAAACATGCTGGGTGTGTCAGCTTTGCTGGTCACAGGGGCAGCTTTCCAAGAAGCAGTGGATACTGGTCAGTAGAGTCCTCAAACTCTGAAGGTATATGCAGTGCATGATGGCCCTGCTCCTCAAGGGGTGGGATTGCTGGCAGTATGGTCATCAAGCAGCTGGTCCTCAGGCCTAGGAATGGGGAGTGCATGCATCAGTTCCCTCAGTCTTGGGGGTTGTCTCCCCGTTGTGCTGGACCATCTGTTTTTTGGAGTGTAGAGCAATGCGTGGCCACAGGTACCAGGTTAACAGTTTTACCACTGGGTCTAACTGGGGTTGTGGTATTGCAGCCTTTTGTGTGGGTGTGGTGAGATAATAGCAAGGCCCGTGGAATGTAGAGATGCAGGGGCTATTGGCCCTCCAGGGAAGGATGCATTCCAACAGTGGCTCTGTTCTCAAAATGGCATCAAGCTATAGCAGCTTGGCTCCCAAGGTAATGGGGACCCAGTATGAGTTCCTTTCCTGCAGCATTGTAGCTGTGTGGACACCAGGCAGCTCCCTATACTGGGTTCAGGGTCTGTGACAACTGTGGGGCTTTTCTGTAGCAGGCACACATGGCAGTAATGGGGGCAGCTGAGGATCTAGCACTTACCTATTACCTGCAATGAAGAGTCCTTTTTGGTTCCAAGCCAATCCTGGCTGGGTGCTTTGCTTCCCTTGCTATGCTGCCACCCTGAGTTTCTGCACTTCAGAGGGTTTCCATCACTTCCTTGCTAAATTTCAGTGTTGTACCTTAGATATTCTACCTAAAGTTTAGTTTTATAGTTGTGTTGATTTTTCTTTGTGGAAGAGATAGGTGTCGAGCACCTTCAGTTAGCCATTTAACGTGTTTATTATGTTTTAATGTTGAATAGTGTTCCATTGTATCTACTACTTCTTTTTTTTTTGGCCATTGACCTAATGAGGGGTATTTGGACCATTTTTATATTTTCAAATAAAGTAGAATTAAAGCTTCTCTTAATATTTATTGGCAAGTGTGGTATTAAAACATGCATTTGTCAAATGACAAAGAATGGGATTATATAATTGTTTGAAAGATCTACACTTAACTTTTTAAGAAATTACTACATTGTTTTTCAAAACAATTTTACCGTTTTACATTCTGACCAGCAGTATGTGGAATTACCAGTTGCTTCATTTCCTTGCCATCATTGGTTATGGGCTTTCCTCTTAAATTTTAGACATTCTACTAGATGTTTGATGTTATTTTATTGTGGTTTTAATTTGTATTTCCTTAGTGAGTAATGATGTTGAGCATCATTGCAGGTGCTTATTTCTCATTCACACATTCTCAGTGGTGAAGTGTTTGTACAATATTTTTAAAACTGCTTTATTTAATTTGTTATAGTTGAGTTTTGAGATCTCGTTATATATTCTGGATACAAGTACAAGTTTGTGGATTATCTTTTTATTTTGTTTTTTGAAGAGTAGATGTTTTTAATTTTTCTTTCTGTTGTATTATATTTTATTAACCCATTAAAGTGTATAAAAATTAACAGTAGATGGTTAGCATGGAACCAAACAAAGAACAAAGAGTTTGTAACAGTTTCTAAAATCTAGAATACAGAAGTAATGTTTCCAAAACATAATTCCAAAATCCCTGCAATCTTTTTTCCAAATTACTTAACTACTTTTAATATATGTAGAAATCAACAGCCACAGGCCTGGAAGCAAGAATACAAACCAGAAAACCAACCTCAAGTCTTGAACCATAATCATGATCTTTGGCTGTTATAGGAAAGCTCAATTTCTCTCTCTGTCTCTCTCTCTCTCACACACACACATACACACAGACGCACTCTTATTCACATCCATTCTCCCTCTCTCCAGTTCAAAGTCTGAGAGATTAAAAGATATTTTTAATTTTGATTAACTCCAATTAAAAGAAAATAAAAGTTAGATAGCATGCTTTTCATGTTGCACCAAATAAATTCTTGCCTAAAACAAGGTCAACAAATTTTTCTCCTATATTTTCTTATACAAGTTTTATAATTTTAAATTTTATATTTAGGTATATGATTCAAGTTAATGTATGCATATAATAAAAGTTTCAGGTCAAAGTTCAATTTTTTGAAAGTGGATATACAATTGTCTCAGATCATTTGTTGAGAAAATTTTTCTTTTTGTACTGAATTGCCTTTTTATATTTGTCAAAAATCCATTGACTATATATATGTAAGAATCTATTCCTGGACATTTTATTCTATTCCATTAAAGTATTTATCTTCTGGTCAGCACAGCCTTTATCAATGAAACTTTAAAATGATATTTGTAGTGTGAATCTTCCAACATTGTTTTTCATTTTCAAAGTGGTTTTATCTAGGTTTGTATTTCCATATGAATATTAGAAATGGCTCATCAATTTTTACATAAACATTATTAGAATGTCGATTAAAATTTTAATAAATTCATATATCACTTGTAAGTAAGTGACTTCTTTTTCTTTGTTTGTTTTTGAGATGGAGTCTTGCTCTGTCATCCAGGCTGGAGTGCAATGGTGCAATCTCGGCTCACTGCAACTACTGCCTCCTGGGTTCAAGCAATTCTCCTGCCTCAGCCTTCCGAGTAGCTGGGACTACAAGTGCCCACCACCATGCCTGGCTACTTGTTTGTATTTTTAGTAGAGATGGGGTTTCACCGTGTTGGCCAAGATGGTCTCGATCTCCTGACCTCGTGATCTACCTGCCTCAGCCTCCCAAAGTACTGAGATTACAGAAGTGAGCCACCACGCCCGGCCGCAAGTAACTGACTTCTTAAACAATATTGGATTTTTATTCATTAACACATCACTACATTCATTTAATTCCTCTTTAATGTCTCTTAAAATGATTTGTAAATTTTGGTACACGTGTCTTATCTTTTTTTATTATATTGATCTCTAAGTCTTTTGTATTTTCTTTTATATTATTTCATTATTTATTTATTAGAGACTAGGTCTCAGTATGTTGCCTAGGGTGGTCTTGAACTCCTGGCCTCAAGCGATCCTCCTACCTTGGCCTCCCACAGTGCTTGGATTACAGGTCTGAGCCATTGCACCTGGTGTTTTATGTTTTTTTCTATGTCACCAGAAATTGTATTTTATTATGATTTTTGAGTGTTTTTTGCTAGTATACAGAACTGAATTTTTATATTGGGCTTCTATCATACCAAATTGGTAAATTCACTTAGTTATAGCAGCCTTAAAAAATTCAGTAGTATTTTATACACAGATGATAATATAGTCAATGAATAAGGTAGTTTTGTTTCTTCCTTTCTAATTGGGATGACTTTTTTCTTTTTCTTTTTTTAAATAATGCCACTGGCTAAAACATGCCATACAAAGTGAAGAAAGTTGTAAGAAAGAACTTCTTTGCTTGTTTATGATCTTAGGTTAAAAGCATTCAATTGCTCATCATTAAATGTCATGTTAGCTGTATATTTTTCACAGATACTCTTTACTGGCATGAGGAAGTTCCCTTATATTTACAGTTTGCTGAGAGTTTTTGTTGGGAATGGATGATGGGTTTTGTCAATGCTTTTTCGGCATCTAATGAGATGACCATCTTTTTTTTTTTTAAGTTCATTCATGTGAGGAATTACATTGATTTAATTTATTTAAAATAGACTTTAGTTTTAGAGCAGCTTTAGATTTAAAGAAAACTAGAGAAAATACTGTTACCATATATTCTACACCAGTGTCCTCTATTATTATATCTTAGATCACCATGACACGTTTACTACAACTGATGAAAAATATTGATATATTATTAACTAAAATCCATAGTTTATTCAGATTTCCTTGGTTTTCCCTTAACATCCTTTTTTCAGGATTCCATCCAGGGCACCATACTACATTTATACATGTCACCTTAGGTTCCTCTTGTCTGTAAGTTTCTTAGACTTTCCTTGTATTTGGCCATTGTTTGAAGAGTATAGATTAGGTATTTAATAAAATGTCCTCATTGGAATTTTTCTGAAGTTTTTCCTGTGATTAGATTAAGATTATGGGTTTTAGGTAGTAAAATCACTGAGGTAATGTACAATTTTCATTACATCATATTAACAGTACATACTACCCATATGGTTTACAACTGTTGATGTTGACCTTGATCATTTGTCTAAGGTATTGTCAGATTTCTCTACTATAAGTTTATCCTATTTATCTCCCTGTTTCCCTACTTTACTTATTAGAAGGAAGTCACTATGCACAGCTCACACTAAAATAAAAGGACATTCATTGATTTTTAAATGTTAAGCAAAATTTGCTTTCTAAAAATAAAATCACAAGCATTCTTATACACCAATAACAGACAAACAGAGAGCCAAATCATGAGTGAACTCCCATTCACAATTGCTCCAAAAAGAATAAAATACCTAGGAATCCAACTTACAAGGGATGTGAAGGACCTCTTCAAGGAAAACTACAAACCACTGCTCAATGAAATAAAAGAGGATACAAACAAATGGAAGACCATTCCATGCTCATGGGTAGGAAGAATCGATATCGTGAAAATGGCTGTACTGCCCAAGGTAATTTATAGATTCAATGCCATCCCCATCAAGCTACCAATGACGTTCTTCACAGAATTGGAAAAAACTAGTTTAAAGTTCATATGGAACCAAAAAAGAGCTCGCATCGCCAAGTCAATCCTAAGCCAAAAGAACAAAGCTGGAGGCATCATGCTACCTGACTTCAAACTGTACTACAAGGCTACAGTAACCAAAACAGCATGGTACTGCTACCAAAACAGAGATATAGATCAGTGGAACAGAACAGAGCCCTCAGAAATAATGCCTCATATCTACAACCATCTGATCTTTGACAAACCTGACAAAAACAAGCAATGGGGAAAGGATTCCCTATTTAATAAATGGTGCTGGGAAAACTGGCTAGCCATGTGTAGAAAGCTGAAACTGGATCCCTTCCTTACACCTTATACAAAAATTAATTCAAGATGGATTAAAGACTTACATGTTAGACCTAAAACCACAAAAACCCTAGAAGAAAACCTAGGCAATACCATTCAGGACATAGGCATGGGCAAGGACTTCATGTCTAAAACACCAAAAGCAATGGCAACAAAAGCCAAAATTGACAAATGGGATCTGATTAAACTGAAGAGCTTCTGCACAGTAAAAGAAACTACCATCAGAGTGAACAGGCAACCTACAAAATGGGAGAAAATTTTCGCAACCTACTCATCGGACAAAGGGCTAATATCCAGAATCTACAATGAACTCAAACAAATTTACAAGAAAACAACAAACAACCCCATCAAAAAGTGGGCAAAGGATATGCACAGACACTTCTCAAAAGAAGACATTTATGCAGCCAAAAAACACATGAAAAAATGCTCATCATCACTGGCCATCAGAGAAATGCAAATCAAAACCACAATGAGATACCATCTCACACCAGTTAGAATGGCAATCATTAAAAAGTCAGGAAACAACAGGTGCTGGAGAGGATGTGGAGAAACAGGAACACTTTTACACTGCTGGTGGGACTATAAACTAGTTCAACCATTGTGGAAGTCAGTGTGGCGATTCCTCAGGGATCTAGAACTAGAAATACCATTTGACCCAGCCATCCCATTACTGGGTATATACCCAAAGGACTATAAATCATGCTGCTATAAAGACACATGCACAGGTATGTTTACTGTGGCACTATTCACAATAGCAAAGACTTGGAACCAACCCAAATGTCCAACAATGATAGACTGGATTAAGGAAATGTGACACGGAATACTATGCAGCCACAAAAAAGGATGAGTTCATGTCCTTTGCAGGGACATGGATGAAGTTGGAAACCATAATTCTCAGCAAACTATCGCAAGGACGAAAAACCAAATACCGCATGTTCTCACTCATAGGTGGGAATTGAACAATGAGAACACATGGACATAGGAAGGGGAACATCACACACTGGGGCCTGTTGTGGGGTGGGGGGAGGGGGGAGGGATAGCATTAGGAGATATACCTAATGCTAAATGAGGAGTTAATGGGTGCAGCACACCAACATGGCACATGTATACATATGTAACAAACCTGCACATTGTGCACATGTACCCTAAAACTTAAAGTATAATAATAATAATAATAAAAAAAAGAAAAAACTACTTGGCCATCATGCACTATGATTTTCATATAATGTTTTTTGCAAATTTGCTAACATTTTAAGGGTTTTGACCCTTTACAAAGGATATTGATTTATCAATTTTTTTGTATTATTTCTTTGTCTAGTTTTCATATAACAATAATACTGATTTCATAGAGAGAGGTGAGGAATATTCCCAATTAAATTTTACGAAACAGTTTATTTAGGATTCTTTTTTTCTTCCTTAAATGTTTGACAGAATTCCTCAGGGAAGCCATCTGGACCAAGGATTTTCTTTGTAGAAGGAGTTTTCACTACAAATCTAGTTGTTAAAATAGACATAGAATTATTCCAATTACCCATACTTACCTGTGTGAGCTTTCCTATTTTGTGTCATTCAAGAAATTGCCCACTTCATCCAACATGAAAAATTTATTAGCATGATACTGTTCATAATATTCCCTTATTGTCATTTTAATATCTGTATATTTTATAGTGATATCATCTTTTCTCACATTGGAAATGTATGTCTTATCTCCTTTTTCTGATTAACTTATCAAATGATTAATGTAGAATGTCATCAATTTTCTTAATCTCGCTGCAACAACGTCTGGTTTCATTGATTTTCTTCTATTATTTTTTCGGATTTATAATTTATTGCTTTCCATGCTGGTCTTTATTATAACCTTTCTTCTACTTACTTTGGGTTTAATTTGTTCTTCTTTTTGCTTTTTAAAGGAAAAGATGAAGTCACTGACTTGAGTGACCTTTGAGACTTTTCCTGTTTCCTAAGATAGGCTTTCAGTGTTATACATTTCCTCCTAGGTACTGTTTTTGTAGCATTCCATTAATTTTGATATGTTATTGTATTTTCATTTTCAGTTAATGCAAAATACTATTTAGTTTTCCTTCTAATTTTTTTTTGCTTTGTTGATTATTTAAAAGTATGTTATTTAGTTTGCAATGATTTGGGAATTTTTACAGATATTTTTCTATTGTCAATTTCTAATTAATTTCATTTTAGTCAGATAAGCCATGTTTTATGACTTGCATCATTTTAAACTTACCGAGACTTGCTTTATGGTTTAGAATATATCTAATTCAATACATGTCTGGTGTGTATTTGATAAAAATCTATTTTATATTGGTGTTGATTGCAGTGTTGTGTAATTTTCAGTTAGGTCAAATTGTGTGACTAGTTCAGATTTTCCATAGTAATATTCTATCTACTTATTCTAGATTTTTTAGATATGGCACAAAGAGGAGGAGTAATTTTAAAGGTAATAAATTAGATTTCATTTTTAAAATTGTACTTTTCAAGCCACCATTAAGAAAGTGAAAACACAAGCTACCAGTTAGGAAGAATACATATACAAAATGCATTTCTGATTAAAATTTGTACCCCAGATCAAAACTCTTACAACCCAATAATAAGACAAATAACCAATTTAAATGTGTTTAAGTATGTGAATAGACATTTCACCAAAGGCCACATGCACATGAAAAGATGCTCAATACTGTTAGTTGTCAGCATAATGCAAATTAATATAAGGAGATAACATGTTACTTCCAACAGAATTCCTTCAATTTTTTAAATAATTAAAAATTAATTTAAAAGACTAAAAAACAAATGGTAACAAGTGTTTACAAGGATGTAAAGAAACTAGAATCTCGTACATTGCTAGTCCAGAATGTAAAATGGTACACCAACTTTGGAGAACAGTTTGGTAGTTTCTTAAACAGTTAAATATACATTTACCATAAGACTCAGCTATTCCACATCTAGATATTCTCCCACAAGAAGTGAACATATATACCCACACAAAGACTTCTATATGAATGTTCATAGCACCATTATTTATAACAGCCAAAAAGTTGAAACAACCCAAACAACCACAACCTGATGAATAAACAAAATGTTGTGTCCATACAATAAAATACTATTTTCTAATTGCTATAGTTTGAATGTACCAAACAAAACTCACTGAAAGTTATTTGCCAATTTTATGGTACTGGGAGGCAGAACATTTAAGAGGTGACTAGATGTCCTCATGAATGGAATAATGCCATTATTGTAGGAGTGAATACTGATAGAAATGATAGGTTTGGTCCAATTTCTCTCTCTTGGGCTTGCTTGCCCTTCCACCATATTATGTTGTAGCAAGAAGGCCCTTGCTAGTTGCCAGTGGCATGCTCTTGGACCTCTCAGCCTCCAAAACTGTGAGGTAAATACACTCATTAAAAAAAAAAAAAATAAGTATTCACTCATTATAGCAGCAAAAAATTGACTAATAATAATTTTAAAAAGTTCTGATACTTATTACATGAATGAACCTCAAAAGCATTTTATTAAGTAAATTAAGTCAATTTCAAAGTAGCACATGTAAGTATGATTCCATTTACATGGCACACTTACCATAGACCATCTATAACAATGGATATTAGGTAAGAGTTTCCTGGGGCTGGGAGGTGGTGAAGTGTTAGGGAGTGGTTGCTAATGGGCAGAAGGGAACTTATTGGCATGATAAAAATGTCTTGAAATAGAATTGTGTTGATGTGTACAACTCAGTAACTTTACAAAAAATAATTGAACTATATACTAAAAATAAGTAAATTTTATTGAATATAAATTATTCTTCAATAAAGTTGTTCAAAAGCACATATAGACAGCAAATAAGAAATTATATTATGTGTAATAATTATATTATGAATTTGTATAATAGTTATTAAAACGAAGTATGATGTTTGTGACCTATTTTCAAGTCGTTTGACAATATATCACACATATAGGAAAAGGAAATAAGCTAAAATATTAATAGTTATTGAACTACATAGAAATTATACAGGTATCATTTGTATTAGTATTCAACACCTCAAGCTGAAATATTTTATTTTATCTTTTTATTTTGAAACAGAGTCGCACTCTGTCACCCAGGTTGGAGTGCAGTGGCGCGATCTCAGCTCACTGCAACCTCTGCCTCCCGAGTTCAAGCGATTCTCCTGTCTCAGCCTCCCGAGTAGCTGGGATTAAAGACATACACCACCACACTTAGCTAATTCTTGTATTTTTAGAAGAGACGACGTTTCATCATATTGGCCAGGCTGGTCTCGAACACCTGACCTCGTGATTCACCCGCGTCAGCCTCCCAAAGTGCTGGGATTACAGGTGTGAGCCAGCCACCACTCCCGGCCTATTTTATTTTTTCTCTAGAGATACGGTCTCTTTCTCTTGCCCAAGCTGGAGTGCAGTGGCACAGTAACAGTTCACTACAGCCTCAAACTCCAGAGCTCAAATGATCCTCCTGCCTCAGCCTCCTGAGTAGCTGGGACTACAGGTGTGTGCCACCACACTTGGCCAATTATATAAATTTTTTTGTAGAAACAAGGTCTCACTGTGTTGCCCAGGCTGTTCTTGAACCCCCTGGCTCAAGCAATCCTCCCATCTTGGCCTACTAAATTGGTGGTATGATAGGCATGAGCCACCATGCCCAGCTTAAAAAATCTTATAATAGACATATTGAAAAAAATGTCATATCATATTAAATGTTGGAAAAGCATCAGGAAAAATTAACCAGCCATTCTTTGTGGAAATTCTAACTAAAGTAGAAATAGAAGTAAATGGCTTTACATTTAATGAAAAAAAAACCAATTATTATAAACTCTAAGCACATATTGTACTAATGCTATTGAGATATTAAACCTATTTTACAGTAAATCAGAAACTAGAGAGTAATATCTGTTAATATAATTTTGATTTAATATTGTATCTACATTTTTAAATGCAATGACAGGAAAATTAATAATTAGAACACATATTGAATTTTTTAATTTTTTCTGGTGACCCAATGACTTCAGTAAAAATCACTAGGCTTAATTTTAAAAATGTGTAAGATGGCTGAATAAAAGTAAAATATAGGCTGGGTGCAGTAGCTCACACCTGTAATCCCAGCACTTTGGGAGGCCGAGGCAGGTGGATCATCTGAGGTCAGGAGTTCAGGATCAGCCTGACCAACATGGTGAAACCCCATCTCTACTAAAAATATAAAAACTAGCCGGGCGTGGTGGTGGGCGCCTGTAATGCCAGCTACTCCAGAGGGTGAAGCAGGAGAATTACTTGAACCCAGGAGACGGAGGTTACAGTGAGCTGACACGGTGCCACTGCACTCCAGCCTCGGAGACAGAGTGAGACTCCAACTCAAAAAAAAAAAAAAAAAAAAAGTAAAATATAAAAGCAATGAGAGCATTTCTCTAGTCTTATAATAAGTGCTATAAATCAAAGAGAGAATAATTTCATTTACAGTAACAAGAAAAACTATAAAATTTAAAAACCTATTTAAAGGAATATGCTAAGGAAAACTGTGTAAGAATTTATCATGAAATAGTAATTTTCCCAAAATTAGTATATAAATTCCATGCAATTTCTATTAGAATACCGGAAGTAGGCTGGGTGTGCTGGCCTATAATCCCAGCACTTTGGGAGGCCAAGGTGGGTGGATCACTTGAGGCCAGGGGTTCCACATCAGCCTTGACAGTATGGTGAAACCCGGTATCTACTAAAAATACAAAAATTAGCTGAGTGACATGGTGCACACCTGTAATTTCAGCTACTCGGGAGGTTGAGGCAGGAGAATGACTTGAACCTGGGAGGCAGAGGTTGCAGTGAGCAGAGACTGCACCACTGCACTCCAGCCTGGGTGATGGAGTGAGACTCTGTGTTTCAAAAAAAAAAAAAAAAAGAATATCAAAAAGGTATTTTGTGAACAACTGAATAAAATAATTTTGAAGCTCAAATGGAAGAACAAGTACTTACAAATAGTCAAATAAAGTAGAAAAAGAACAGTGAGGGGAAAAAACTACCTTCCCGGGCAACAGAATATGCTGTAAAGTGTCCGTGATAAATTTAACGTGGTGTTAGTATAGAAAAATACATATGGATCAGTGGAACTGAGTGGAGAATCCAGAATTAGATCCCTAGATATAGGAGGTACATACAGAGTTTGGTGGTTACTCAATGAGAAAATATTCTCAATAAATTGTATTGACAAAGCTAGCTGTCCTTGGGGCGAAGGGGGTTAAAATGTCTTATTTCTTACATTTACAAAATTAAATATTATGGATGGATTAAAGCAAAAATTTAAATAATATACAATATTAAACTCTTGCAAAAATAATCATAAAAAGGGTGATGGTTACATGGTACACAAAGTGAGACAGACTATGAGACTGGAATTCCAGAAGTTACAAAATAAATAGAGCCAAATTTGAAAATATACAGCTTGAAAGGTTCTAACAAATAAACTGACAAAAATTCATACGTAAGTAAAGACATTAAAACAATTGAAAATCAGATGACAAAG
This sequence comes from Homo sapiens, assembly GCF_000001405.40. Taxonomy (NCBI): domain Eukaryota; kingdom Metazoa; phylum Chordata; class Mammalia; order Primates; family Hominidae; genus Homo; species Homo sapiens. The sequence goes on along the minus strand of NC_000005.10, from coordinate 165,377,684 downwards.
GTTGTGGCTATAATACCCGAGGAAATTTTCACTGACAAGTTGCACAGAAATAATTCATTTGAGATATAAAGAGCATGAATAAACATTTCACAGAAGAGGAAAAGCATATATCCAACTAACTTATTAAAATGCTATAATTTACCAGTAGTCAGATAAAATAAAACTAAAGTGATATTGAGTTATTCTTTACAACTACCTTAGCATAAATTATCAGGAGCTATAACACTCCATAGTAGGAATGTGTAAAAAGGCATACTCCTGAATTGATAGTGAAAATATAAACACATATATATATACGACTACACTTCATAGAAGTGTATACTTGAGTATGTATACATAGTTGTATGTACATGTAGGAATAGATAGGAGTCCTTGTACAGCTATGCATCCCATAACAATGTTTTTATCAACAACAAACTGCATATAGGATGGTGGTCCCATAAGATTACAATACCATATTTTTACTGAATCTTTTCTACGTTTAGATATGTTTAGATACACAAATACTTACCATCGTGTTACAATTGCCTACAGTATTCAGTACAGCAACATGTTGTACAGGTTGGTAGCCTAAGAAAAATAAGCTATATCTATACCACACAGCCTAGGTATGTAGTAGGCTATACCACCTAGCTATATGGAAGTACACTCACCTGATGTGCCCGCAATGACAAAATTGCCTAATAATGCATTTCTCAGAATGTATCCCTGTCATTAAGCAATGCATGACTGTATTTATAGAAAAAAAACACACTCATACACTAGGAATTATGAAGGATGGGGTCAAAGAAAATAAGACCACACTAAGAATACAAATCCAAATGCATAAGCACTGTTTGCATTCATATAAACTTTCTTCATATTTCTTACTGAATAAAAATTAAAAAGGAAAACACAAATAGAGTATTAATATGCAATGTAATATGATCCCAGTGATAATTATTTCATGCCTCTATTATTCCAGTTGCCCTCTAGCACAGCTTTTTGCACTCAATCACTTCCCACTTAATTTCATTGCATGCACCACAGGTTACGTCTCCTCCAAACCTATTTTCACATTATCATCCTTCTACAAATGGCATGAGAGGTGTTATACCATCTGCAAATCCAGTTCAACTCACTCAAACTATGGTGGAAGATTTTGTCTTATCATCTCTCTAAGACCTTCTTTTTGTTTCTCAGTTTATTTTATAAATGCATTTCTAACCTCAACTCCTCAGTATTACGCTCATTCCCACCAGATCAATGTTTGCTGTGCCAAATTGCATATTAGGCTTACTGCTATTTCCTTGATCATTACAGTTCTTTCAAATAAAATATTCCCCAGCCTCCCCCTCAGCAGCTTGTGTCATTGACTTTCCTTAAAATACCACTCTACTGCAAATTAAAAGACTTACACCCATCCTTATTCATTGATCCATTTCTGGGAATAGTCATTGAGGGTCAAAAAGATGTAGTGACAAAGATGTTCACTGAAACTTTGTTTATAATAGACACAACATCAGAAACAGCTGTATGATTAGAAGATAATAAGTTAAATAAATTCCAACACATCAGTACAACACTAAAGCAGGCATTAAAAATCATGACTATAAAAATCATGGCAGTAAATATTTTAGTGTTTATTCTTAAATTTAGAAAAAAGATTTCAAAACATAGTAATTGTTTAATTGATGAAGTTGTGCATTATGCAACACTACAGAGATAATTTATAAGGAAACGTAGTAATTAGTTTCACAGGGTGGTTTCTTATTATATTCTTCATGAATGAATGATGGTGTCACTGCCAAGACCAATTTGCGAAAAGCAATTCAAAGATACTTTAGCACACACAAAAAAAGGGAGGTAGGAGAGTACATGGTGCTAAGCTGGATGGCTTATTTACAGAAAAGAACTTAAAGAATTTGGAATGGGCAGGCCACATTCTTCAGTAAAGCCTTCCTAAACATTGGTTCTCTTAGCCACAGTTATGTCTAATTATGAATACTTACTTAGAGACAGTGAGTTGGAAATTATATTATCTGGCATGTCTGGAGGGCAGATACCTTCTGCTATCAGTTAAATGCAATCGACAGAATTTATGTAAAATTTACATTATCAGGTAAAAAATTGTAAAACCTGATGTGATAGATGCTGACCCAACAGCCCTTGGCAAACTTTTTCTTCTGATCTTTAGAAGCATAAAGTCTGGAAAACTAAGTACTCACTTTTACAGTCTTCTTTACAGCTGGGTTTGCTTACGCAACACAGTTATATACCATGAGATCTAAGTAGAAGTTTCTTGGGATTCTGGGAATTTCTGCTTCCTTGATAATAAGAGACAGATACACCCAGCACTGTCCCTTCCTACTTTCTTCTCGCCTTCAGCACAGAGATGTTGCCTGGAGCTTTTCAAGCTGCCAGGAGGGAAGGGCCAAGGGGACTGCAGATATTAAACAGAGATTTGCTCAAATAATTTCAAGTGTTATAGTTTAGATAAGTGCCTCAAAGGAAAACTAGAGAGTCTCCAGCTGGTGCTAGAACATTTGATCTAATAAATAATAAACATAACAAAATATGTGAATGCGTTTTCATGATAAACATCCAAACAATACTGAAAAGTACGTTAAGTGAAAAACACACACCATACAACTTTCCTCAACCCCAGACACAATTCCCTTATCAAGACGAATCATTGAAAATAACTAGCTGTTCAAGATCTCTGTTTAAGAATTTATATCCCTATATATGTAGCATATATAAATATATGGTTTAGTTTTTTATGATTTAGCCAGAAATGATAATGTGTGTACCATTTTGAAACATTTCATCATTTGTTAATGTGACATGAAAGTCCAGATGTGTCCATACAGTGGTAATTTCATTCTTTTTATTTGCTGTATTGTAACTCATAAAGGCACCACTGTTTTATATTCCATATTGAATGAAACCTGGGTGATATTCAAGTATTTCATGCTATTCAAAATGCTGCTACATTAAACATGCAAGCACATATATTTTTTGTGCATATGTGTATCTAATTCTTTGGGCTATGTACCTAGCAGTACAATAGTCAGTGGATGATTGGACAAGCAAATTCTAAATTTTGATAGTTACTGTAAATGCTGTATAAGTTTACACTTTTATTGATAAATGAGATATTGTGGTTTACCACAACTTTAACAAAAATTGATTTCAATCATTTTTTGTTATTCCTTTGAATGTAATAAGCAAATTAAACCTACTTTTGTTTTCATTATTTTGTCAGTTATTAAAATATGTTATCTTTTGCACAGACTATTCATATATTTTGTCTTCTTTTATATAACTGTCAGTTTCTTATTGATCTTAGTAGCTTTCTTATATTATTGATATTAATGCTTATCTATTTTATTGAGGGGAAATAGATATTTTATCCGAATCTGTTTAAATTTTATCTTTGTTGACATGTTTCATTTCTACAAAGCATTTCATTTTTATATAAATTTATCAGTCTTTTTCTTTAGGATTTCAGGTGCATTCTTTTGCTTAGGCAGGCTTGCTCTTACCAGAAGATCACAGGAGGTATTCAAAACTTCTTATTAATGCTTTCATATTTTGGCCTTATATTAAACTTTTTAGCCCATTTGGAAAGTATTTTTATATATATTATAATTTAGAATTTTGACTTTGTTTTCTAAAGAAAAGTTCAGTTGGTCCTTTTTTTAGTTATTATGTCATTATGAAATATTACAGACATCCAGAAATCACAATGAATATTATAGCAATCAATTAGGTAGCCACCATCCAGCTGCATTTTAATCACAACATTTTTTTCTTTGAGATTATAGGAGAAAAAATTCAGTATACATACTAGTCCCTTCCATTCTTGATATTATTCCCATCTCTATTTAGAGATTATTACTCTCCTGAAGCAGCTGGTCATCATTCACATTCATGTGATTATATTTTTTCTACATTTGTATGTAGCCACAAAGATTAAACAGGAGAATTCTCAATGATTTTCAGATTTACATTTAAGCTTTTCAGACTTCTAATAAAATTCCAGAATTTCTCTCCCCACCATTTTAATTCCTTGAAATGTTTTCCAGATTACTGTATTTTACTACTGAATGACTTTTATATTTAATCATATCACTGGTCTCTCTGCTTTTCTTATTTTTCTTATTCTACATCTGCCTTTTGAATGTTTAAATCTGTCTTGCTAACCTATATTTTCATAAAATGTTTTAGAATATGTCTGTGGGAGGTAAGGATTCTCAGTTCTTGTATCACTGAAACTATTCTTGCTTTTCATTCTCTCTTGAATGTTGCTACAGCTTAGTACAGAATTCCACTGACATCTATCATTCAGTGGTTGTCATGATTCTGTTGGGACACTCTTATTCTTTGTAGTTCATTATTTTTTAAATTCTTTTTAGAAATCTTAAGATTTCTCATCATTCTTGATTTAGTGACATCTCTGCACAACATATATGATGTAGTTTTTCATTTATTTTCCATGAGCATTTGCAGTCCCCTCCCGTGAATAATGAGGACTTCATTAGCTTGTAATATGTTTTTCTATTACCTCTGATTATTTCTTTTTCTATATTTGTAATTTCTCTTCTTAGAAATCATGTTAGATCAATAATGATTTTTCTTTCCTTTATCTAGGCACTTTAAATTCTTATATCATTAAACTTTGTTCTTCTTTATTTTTAGTAAGTTTCTTCTCATTTCCAGTTTTTGAAAAATTTGTCTATTCTATCCATGGGCCTAATTAAATGTTTTCCTCTTTGATAATATTATTATTTTTTCAAGATATTGATTTGCAGGCTGGGTGCAGTGGCTCATGCCTGTAATCCCAGTGCTTTGGGAGGCCTGGGTAGGAGGATCGCTTGAATCTAGGAGTTTGAGACCAGCGTGGTCAACATAGTGAGACCTCGTCTCTTAAAAAGTAAATAATTAATACAATTTTTAAAATATGCGTATTGTCTTCCTTTCAAAATAGTCACTCCCATATCCCCAAGGATATAATATCCACTCTGAATGTTTGAGAATATAAAATATATTTTTCAAAAAATTTGCACTGGCTCTGTTAACTTTGAGGCTTTGGACATTCTTTCATTTTTCAGTTTGACTGTTTATCTTTTAATTCATCAATTTCTTCAGATGCTCGTTAATTTTGGGTTATGTGTTAATATTCGTATTTGGGATTCCATATACACCTGTTCTGGGGTGCTATTTCTAATTACCATATACTGCTTTTAGTGATAAAGAGTGAACCGCGATTGCTATTAAACAGCAATGTGCCAGTAGTTTGAATTCTGGCGATCCCCGAGTCCCTAACCATTAATAATGTCAGCTGGCTGGCCGGATGCAGAGAATTTTTAAGAATTATTTCAGTCCAAGGATAAATGTTATTCACAGCTGGGTATGGAGGGGGACCAAGGTTTCAAACCAGCCATGTAGCTTGACTGGGATATTTTCCCCAAATATATTGACAGGTTCCCTGGGACTCTTACTGTGTGTCTTATAAACACTGCCCCTGAGTGAATGGTATAAGTCATATGTGGCATCAGAGTCATTTCTTTCAGGTTCAGGCTTTCAAGTGTCATGGAAAGAGCGCCCATTTAAAAAATTAAACACTATAATATAAATCCTTTCATACTAACTTGGGGTAGCCACGTGCCATGGGTAAGTAAGTTAACACTTCTGAGCAACAATTTTCTTATTTGTAAGAAGTATAATAGCTTTATCACAGATTTGTAGTGAGGGTTAGAGATACTACATGTAAAATATCTTAAATAAGATTTGGTGCATAGCACCTGCTTAAGAAGTGATAGTTTACCCCCTTATATTTAAATGCATTAAATATGGTAACTGGTGAGCAGTTGTCAAACAAGATTTTTTTTTTTTTTTGAGATGGAGTCTCGCTCTGTCACCCAGGCTGGAGTACAGTGGTGCACGATCTCCCTCACTGCAACCTCTGTCTAATGGGTTCAAGGGATTCTCCTGCCTCAGCCTCCCCAGTCGCTGGGATTGATTACAGGCACACGCCACCATGCCTGGCTAATTTTTGTATTTTCAGTAGAGACAGCGATTCACTATGTTGGCCAAGTTGGTCTCCAACTCCTGACCTCAGGTGATCCACCCGCCTTGGTCTCCGAAAGTGCTGGGATTACAGGCGTGAGCCACTGCACCCAGCCAACATATTAACAAAGAGTTTACAGAAAATGTTTGCAAAAATGTGGGTACCATATAGGTAAATTTTACTGGGTAAAGAGACAAAGAAATATTCATTGTATGAGATGCATTGAAAGCTCCAATGAGTAACAGTTTAAGAATTTGGAAGAGGCAAAAAACAAAAAAAGAAATCCTGCTTTTCAGCATTGACCTTGTATACTGTCTTATCTAAATGCATATATAAGTGATTGACATTATTACTGCTTTCATTCCAGATTTCATGAAGATAAGCAAGTGTTCGTGATTAAGCATTCTTACTGTGATTTAAAATAATTCATAGTTTATGCAACAACTTTGGATACCTAGCTGAAAGAGCAGGAGAGAAGTCGCTCAAGAAGCAGTGATTTATGCAGATACCTACAAAGATAGGTAGTTTATTTGGAATCCAAATATATTTTTCCTTACTATCATTTCAAACTTTCTACAATTTATAGACAAGGGTCAGTTTCTGAAGCTGCACAGCAGATTAGATGCCATGATAGAACTGATTCACTTCCTCCATGGTCAATGTGATTCACTTTTCTACAGCAAACAAAATAAACAGACCAATTGTGCAGATGGTTTGTGATCTAGATAATCTTACTATCTCAACCAGACCAATAGGTTAGTATCTAATCCATTTTATTAGTTTAATTTACAGAATAGTTTGAAAACACCAATTGGATTTCCAATTTGCTAAATTGTTTTGTATGGATTCAGTTATTATATAATTTCTGATTCTACTAAGCTCTTAAAATACAAACAAGAGAAACTACAAACTTTAAAAAATGTTGATACTATGCTTAAATTACATATTTTAAATAGCACACGAATCTATTCCTTCAAAAATGAAGTGAAAAACTAAACAATTTTTTAAAATTAAAGAAAAAAATGATGGTAGAATTATTGGCCGTTTATGTATACTAGCTTTGAAGTCAAATTATGCGAATAAGAGTTTTGATTTACCTATTTAAAAGCCACATGACTTTAGGCAATTTCTCTAACCTCTCTAGGTTAATTTTTTATCCAGTCTGTAATACAGAGATAACAAACACTGCGCAGGGTTGGGTGAGAGCTAAAGAAGACAAGGTACACAAAGCATGTTAATACAGTGAAAATAATAAGCACCGAGTAAATATTAGCTATGATTATTTTACTTGCATCTATTAAGCCCTTTTCACTCCACATTTTACAGTAAGAATAATAGACAAGTTTGACACATTAAGCAGATTTTGTTTTGACAAATACTTAAACCTGGCAAAGAAATCTCACCTAAAGATGGACAGGTTTTCTTTATATTTTTGTTCATCCTTGAACCAATGTAACATAAGAATTGAAGAAAAAAACAAACCCTCTAATTCGGTTCTCCATGTAATCAAGACTGAAAATTAGATCAGCATTTTGGAAAAATAATGAATTTGTGAACCAAATAAACAATTGATTAGCAAGTAAATAGAGACATCAACTTCTTTATTTTGTGATCTTTTTAATTACAAGTTAAGTTAGAGATGATCAGAGAAGTTAGAATTTAAGATCGGGAAACATTTATTATCCTTAATTATAATACAGAAACTTACATGCTAGCCGACCTCCTAGTATAAAAAGTCAAACTATGTTTTAAGTTAAATTTATGTTGACTGGGTCTTTTCATTGTAACTAAGTTCTTTTTACTGTTTTCGTTTCTTCTAAATAGCACTGAACACTAAATCACTAAATATAGCTAAATATTTTGAGTAGATTCAATGACTGTATAAAAAACCAGGCACATAAATAATTTCTTTTATATATTTTAAGTTCTAAAACAATTGCTGGATGTGAGTTGTTGACACTTAGAGTATAAAATTGTGATGGCTGTTTTTCATAGTATCTTAAAATTTTAAGCTCTTATTTAGTTCCCTTATTTTTGCTTTGTCAGGAAGATTTGTTATTTATATATGATAATGAACTTAATCATTATTTTAACACTTGAGTATAAAGATAAGAGGACCTGAAGTCTGTCAGAATGATTTAGACAGGTGTTTATACCATATCAGGAGTCAGAGACATTTCCTTCTTCATTTAAGTGTTCACTCCATGAACTGTTCGTGCCATAGAGACCATCAAAAGTTATTCAATCTGGTATTGGGGAGGAATAGAAAAGGGCTGTTTGTAAAACAGAAAGTTACATTTCTCAATTTCCTGAAGCTTTACTTAATGTTCATCTAGAAAATACCTAAATCAGCCATTATTGAGTCATTTTAAAAATACCTTTAGCTTTACTGTTAATTTTTGGACATTCATATTTTTAAAAAATTTTGGTTACTTCCCCAGACTCCAGCTTTAAGTACATTAATTAAAAAGTCCTGCATATGATGAAGCAGTTTGGAAGAGACCAAAACTCCACTGAGAACAACTAAAAAAGCTGAATTTATTTTTAAAAGTATTTTTGGATGCTTAGGAGTACAGCTAAAGCAGGCAGAAATGGAGGGCTCAAGATAATAGAGAGAAGGTACAACAATGAAACAGGGGTCTACACTCAAAACTGTTAAGCATATTTAAAGTGCTGAAAAAAATAAATAATATAGAATTCCATATCAATAAACAGTGGCCTTAAAAAAATACAAGTGGCTCCACTTCTGGGAAAATAGTATGAGGAGCTATGCAGACTTACTTCTCAGAGAAACAAGAAAGCTGATGAAAACTATTAAAAAATGCAAACAAAACCCCAAACCCAACAATTTAATATATCTGGCATTGTTCTAAGGGAATAGGGCAAAATGTAAAACATGTATTAATGAAAATCTGCTAAAACATGGTTTTAAAAAAAAATCAAGAACCTGTGGTATTTGAGCCATAGCATGATCCCTACCTTCCCACTCCCAACTCAGTTTGATACAAGCTCCATTATGGGAAGATGTGGCCCACAAAACAGAGCATTCTTCCCATTTAGTTCCCAGTCAGGGTTAACTATATCTCATTTGGAGCAGTAAGTCCCCAGCATTTCTTATCTCTTCTAACTCCAAGTTGAAGAGGCTAAATTCCTCATGAATATGGCTAAACGTTTGGGGTTTATTTCATCCACCCAGCTTCCACCCATAGGACAGAGACTTTGTCTCCAAAAATAATTTTAAAAAGACATATAGAAAACAAAAAAACTTAAATGGAAAATATCAATCCAGTGATATCAATAATACCATTAAACATACATTCAATAAATCATCTAAATAAGTCAAAGATTGTCAAAATAAACTAAGGACAAGATACAACTATATGCTGCCTACAGAAGACCCAGTTTAAATTCAAATATACAAAGAGGTTGAGTTTGCCACTCCAGCAAATTAACTAAACCCAAAGTCATGGGAAATCCAACTTGAAACCAGTTAATCAGAAATTTCGGAGGCCCAGACTTGTGACTGTTACTTGGGGTTGTGAAGGACAATATTGGGGATTGAGCTCCTAGCCTGTGGGATCTGACACTCTCTCCAGGTAGATAATGTCAGAACTGAGTTAGAGCACACTCAGCTGGTGTCCACTGCTCAGAGTGTGGGGTAAAGCCCCCAGTCGTTTAGTCATGGAAGTCTTCCGTGTTGATGCTTCTGGTGTGAGAGTAGAGAAAAACATGGTTAGAGAGAGCTTTCTCTACACAATAGTAAAAGGAAAAAATGAAAGCTGAACCTAGAAATATCCTATGGCTCATTAATTTCAGTCTAGGAGAATACTAAATAGAAATAAATAAATATGTGCCTAAAAGGCATATACAAGAATATTCAGAGCTGTGCTATTTCTAATAGTAAAACCTCAAAAATACCTGAATCTATCAGCAGTAGAATGGGGAGAGAAATTGCTATATGTTCACACAAAGTATTCTATAGTATGAGAATGAAAAAACTATTTTCTTTATGCAATATAGACAACACTCTCAAACATAATATTGAGTGAAGAAAGCCAACATAGCAAAGTTTATAAATAGAAAGAACTAATCTATGGAAAGCAATATCAGAAGCCAGCATAGTGGTTTCCTTTTACATCAATAGGACAGAGACTGAGACAATGTTTAAGTGTGGCCTCTGACATTTTGGTCATGCTCTAGTTCTCAATCTGGTTGGCTGTTGCATGGTGTGTTCACACTGCAACAATTAATTGAATTTATGATGAGTAAACTCTTCTGTATATATGTCAATAAAATTCACAGATAAAAATAAAATGAACTGGCTGGGCTCAGTGGCTCACACCTGTAAATCCCAGCACTTTGGGAGGCCGAGGCAGGCGAATCAGCAAGGCCAGGAGTTGGAGGCCAGCCTGGGCAACACAGCAAAACCCCATCTCTACTAAAAATACAAAAATTAGGTGGGCATGGTGGCATGCGTCTGTAATCCCAGCTACTTAGGAGGCTCAGACACAAGAATCTCTTGAACCTGGGAGGCGGAGATTGCAGTGAGTGGAGATCATGCCACTGCACTCCAGCCTGGGTGACAGAGTGAGACTCTGTCTCAAATAAATAAATAAATAAATAAATAAATAAAATAAACTGAACTTATTAAATATATCTACTGATATATTTTACACTAAAGTTTAAAAATATATATATTTTTTGCTTTTAAGATAAAGCTCACCAATGATTTAATAGCGTTCTGGTGTTTGTGAAATGGTTACTAAACAACAAGTAATGAATTCGACTTTCACGGTTTCATTACCATTAATATATCTCCATCGAGCTATGTTTAAATGATGTGGGCTTTTGTAAAAATATAAAATATATCTATACATATGCCTCATCAGATATTTTAAACATCATAGTGTGCTTAATTACAAAATAAACTTTCTGAAAATTGACATATTTAGTAAATGTGTTTTAAACAGTATTTTAATCACATTTCTTCATAATCAGATCCCTAAATAAAAGTGATAGTTAAAAAATTAATGTAATACACGTACACTAAAAAATAGCTTTAAAGTTGCAGAAATACACATTCTAACTCCAGTATACACTCAGGGGCATAATCCCAGGTATTTCATTCTAATTTCTATTCTAATAGATCTTGTGAACAGAAGAAATACATATGTGTGTGTGTGTGTGTGTGTGTGTCTGTGTGTGTACTTTTCTATCACCACCCTTAACTAATTCTTTTGAATATGTTAATAGTCAGAAGTATAGTTCATTTATTTATCTAATTTTATTTTTTCATTTTTTTGTTTTCTCTCCCTTCCTCCCTCCGCCCTCCCTCCCTTTTTTCCCTCCCTTCCTTTCTTTGTTCCTCTTTCCCTCCCTCCAAGCCTCTCTTCTTTCCTCTCCTCCTTCCCTCCCACTTCCTTCCTTTCTTCCTTTCATCTTTCCTTCCTTTCTTTCATTAACCTTTAATATTTTGGTTAAAGAATATTGTCTCCAGATGAGGAGGGCAAGATGACATTTAGCATATACAATGACTTTCTGTAAGTTATCAAAAAGCATCCTTTTCTCTGGGGCACATGGTCCAGGTCATCTTTGCAGGAAGAAAACAGACTGAAAATTCAGCTACATTGCCCCCTCATCTTGGTACCCAACTGAAGAATGCGACTAACTGATGTCACTGACCCTGATGAAAGGAATGGAGACAAAGCATTGAGAGAGAACCCTTTTTCCCCCAGCATGTGACTAGTAAGTAATTAAGTCGCTGGTGATTCTGGGAATGTAAGCATGAAATATAGACTATGACTAGCAAAAACATTAATTAGCAGAAGAATAGAATTTTTGAAATGTCAAAAGCAGAGAAAAACAGAAAACCTACAGAATACTTGAAAACCCCTTTTTAAAACCCTGGGCAGGAGGACCATAGGATACTGGTCAGGAAGGACTTGAAAAGATGCAAAAAGCTTCCACATGTGTATGGGAAGTAAAAATACACCACCCTAAAGGAAAGAGCAGTCAAAGTGAGGTGAATATAGAAACACACATGCAATTAGACATGAAAATACAGCATCTTAAAGGGAAGAGCAGTCAAAGTGAGGTGAATATAGAAACACATATTGTGTGAATGCAATTAGACGTGAAAAATGGCCAATAAAGTAAATTGAGTGGTAACTTTACAAAGACTTCAAAGTCAGCAACACAATAATCTTTATATACGATGTAGTGAAACAATGGGGCCATTTGATGATCCTGGAATGAAACGAGCAGTAAGGGATAAAAATAATATAGCAAAAAAAATTAATTTGCTTCAGTGTACATTGAAAGACTTGAGTGTAAGCCAAAAAGAAAAAAAAAGGCTTTTGAACCATACACCTTAGAGATACTAGATCAAATTTTGCTAAATGCACAGAAGATGAAGTAGATACACCTGACACAGATAAATCACAGCATGTGGATGGCACACACTGAACCATTTTGAGAAAACTGAAGGGTAAAATTTTAACTGTTACATAAAATGTATGGCTTGTCCTTAGAACCAGGCTAACAAGCTGGAGACACGTGCATTGCCAATATAACACTAATCCATAAAAAAATGGTTCCGGAATGGCCCTTGAGTGCCAGAGCCATTCTTTCTTTCTTTAATTGCAGATTCCTCTGCACAAGGCAAGCTGGTGGGATCTTCAATTAAAGAAAATGTGGGAGAAAGTGACATACCTTTATAAAGAAAAATTCTGTTATGCCTATTATTCATAATTTGATTATGTTAATCCATTTATATAATCATAATTTTATTCTCTATAGTATTATAGTCTATAAGAGAGGGATTTGTAACATAGTTTAGAGATTTCCAGAAGGGGGATGTGGTATAATAAGAAACATATTTAGTCTTTGTTCCTGGTACAAGGCTTCTAAAAGCCTTGGAATTTTCTGAGTGATAGGAGTGTACTTTATTATTTATAAAAGGAGTGTCCTTTTGATCACAACTGAGTTTATGCTAATATGGTAAATCAGGGTGGGATCTCTAGATAGCTTCAGGATGAGGATGGTCCCCAGAAAGACCAATTGATTAAAGGGTTGGAAATTTCAGCTTCACCCACCAACCTCTGGAAAAGAGTAGGGGGTGGCTGGAGATGAAGCTCTGTAAAAAATCTTGAACAATGAGATTTGATGAACTTCCCAGTTGGTGTACGTGTCGTGATGCTGGGAGGGCAGCACACCTGAGAGGACATGGGAGCCCTCTACTTCCCACCCATACACCTTTCCTACCCATCTCTTATTTGGGTGTTCGTGAGCTGTATTCTTTATAATAAACTGGAAATGGTGAGTAAGGTGTTTCCCTGAGTTTTGAGAGCCATTATAGCAAATTTTTGAACCTGAAGAGGAGGTCCTGGGAATATTCGATGTATACCCAAGTTGGACAGAAGTGTGTGTAATCTGGGGAATCCACTACTTGCGACTGGCATCGGAAGTAGGGGGCAGTCTTGCAGGACTGAGTCCTCAACCTGTGGGTCTGCACTAACTTAGGGTGGTTGGTATTGGAACTGAATGGCATCATCAGATACCCAGTTGGTGTTCACACAGTTGGACAACTGGTTGCTGATGTGAAGTAAAACCCACACATTTGGTGTCAGAACTGTTGTGAGTAGAGAAGCAATGATTCCATTAGAAGATATTACAGCTTGTCAAGGTAAGTAAAGTATTTATTCCAAAGCAAGTATTTGACCTGAGACTTAATGCATAGGATGTATTCACATTGGGACAGTCTGGAGGGCATTTTGGCAAAAGATAATTGTTGAAAAAATGAGAGATGTAAATACTAAGAAAAAAAGACTCAAATTTATCACTGTCTTTTGTTTTATTTTCATGTTTCCACATATGATACAGTTGTTTACCTAAACAAAAAATAAATTCACATATTTTATAATTAATAACTTGATAGAAGGCTAAAAGATACCCATATCAATAGCTGTCTTAGAAATCATCAATAACCAATTAGAGAAGATATTGAGTGAAGTAGAGATCTAACTCAGAATAGCAACAGAATTTAAAAAGTCACAGAAACAAACTGAGTAAGTGATGTGCAAAATAGAAAACCATAAAACTGGAAAAATGAACATAGATGCAATAGAATTAATGGAGAGTCTTGTCAAAGTAAACAGTAGTAATAATTAAGATAGGGATATTTCAATTCTCCCCTAATTATTTTAATAGAAATCAATGTGAGCCAACATCTCATTTTTTGGTGGAATGTGGGAGCATGCAGTATATGAAATGTATTCTAAATTTCATTTAGAATAATATGTGAATAAGGAATGTCAGAAACATTTTCAAAAGCAATAATAATGAGAAATTGTCTCCACTACTATGATTGTACCAGAAACACAAGTACTGATAGAAGAAAAGTTTCCTAAAGGAGCAGAGGGATGGAAGAGGGGCTCTTAAAAGAAATGAAGATGGGATGCTGGTTCTGTAGAAACATTAATATTCAGAACAGAGTTGTTCACTGTTTCTAGGCATCTAGAACAAAATATTCTTTCAATAAGCATGTTTAGCAATGATAAAAAAGATACGACCTTAAACAAAAGTGGAAATAAATTACTCTTAAAATGGTTGTGCATGGTGGCTCATGCCTGTAATCCCAGTACTTTGGGAGGCTGAGGTGGGGAGATGGCTTGAGTCCAGGAGTTCTAGGCCAGCTTCAGAAAGATGGCTAAAAAAAAAAAAAGATGGCGTGGCATAGTGGTGTGTACATGTCATCCCAGCTATTTGGGAGGCTGAGGTAGGAGAATCCCTTGAGCCCAGGAGGTTGAGACTGCCATGAGCAGTGATTGCTCTACTGCCCTCCAGCCCGGGCAATAGAGGAGGACGCTGTCTCAAAGAAAAATAAAATAAAAATTACTCTTAAAATGGACAAAGCATAAACCTAAAAGGGATTAAGTTCATCAATGAGAAAACATATTGCATCATTAAGATAAACCAGAATGCTTGAGATGCCTTCCTAAGATACGGATATTGATGGAAAGGAGATTAAAATGAGCTCATGTCTCCTGATGTGTCATCAGGAATGCTTAGATAGATTAGGTATTTCTTCTTTTAGGATCACACTGCAGTGAAGGTGTCTTATAGTACTCGCAGATGAAGCTCAATGGGAGAAATCATCCTGATGTGTCCCCTGTACTTGGCAAGAAAGAGATGTGGCATTACAACGTACTTAAATCATGAAACTCATTTTGGCTGAGAAAGCTGGGTCTTGAAATGTGCTTGCCAAGAGGGTAAAATGATACAAATATGCACGCTGAATTATACATAAATATGAATATATACATAGCCACCCCCACATAGCATGTTTGGGTGATAATCAGATAAAAGATTAGTATGGAGCTCCTTAGTCAAAAGGTAGTCTAGGAGGGCCCAGAATGCATTGTTCTTCAGGAAAACAGTAAGTCCCTACACACAGTAGCACGTTTTCCAGAACCCATTTAATCTGGGTTCAAAGGGATTTGAGGCTCTTGAACTGTTAGGACTTGAAAGATGAGAATGGGCTGCCTATGACACAAGTCACAAATCTTGAGCATATGGAAGGGGCTGACCTGCTGTGCTCCACAAATGAGAAGTTTGTCTCTCTTGGCTTTTTAGGAGGTGCTATGTGCTGAGACACTGGGAAAGAACAGCTCTACCAGCAAAGCCTGAAGTGACGTGCGTGTTATTCATAACACCTTGCAATTTAAGTTTGAGGCTGAATCTAATGTGCTAGGAAAGAGGTCAATTGTAACAAACAGAGGGGAAAAGAACCCCACAGCTGTAACTTTCACCAAGAAAGCTTCTCAACCAGATTTATATTTCAAATGGGAGGCAGAAAAAGGTTTGAGGAAACAGTCTAGTTTCCCTCTAAAGAAGACAAAATGAAAATATTATGGTGTATTCTACCGTGTGAAACTGACAACCCACACTGAGAATAGTTACCTTTGAAAACTTTGGGAGTGGGGTGAAGGTGGGATCTGGTTCATATAAAAAGGATTTAATTTTACTTTATTAAAAAACAAAGTTAAATAACTAAAGATCAAATGACAAACGATGCTTAACCCATTTTTTCATTTTCTCCTTTACTTGTGATGGTTTACATTCTTTGCCTCTCCTGAGTCTGTAAAATATACAGAATGTTAGTGAGCTGGAGAAGCTGAGCTATGTTTGCATTAAAAGCGCCTGGAATCAACTTCGACAGGTGACACTTGTTGCCTTATTAGGTAACAGTGGAAATCATTTGGCTGTCTAATTGCTCTCAGGAACAAGAGGAAACACCTGCACCCTCAGTCCTTCCTCATCTCTAAGGCAGGCTTGTGGTATTCTTAGCAAACTCACCAGTCTCATGCCTTCTCAGATCAATAATTGCAGTCCTTAAATTCTATTCCATACGGTGAGTATTTTCCCCTGCCTCATAAAGTCATCCTTCACATGTCCCTCTGAAATATGTATCTTAATGAAATAATCGGTCCAAACAAATGAGTTTCTCTTTGGATGACACACTGGTCTGCCTTGCCGAAAAGAAGATGAGGTAAAACATGAAGGCGGTGTTGATGATAGTGATTAAAACACCAGCTTGACAGGGCAATAACTATAAAATCTTGCTGCTAGTAATAATCTCTACAATACAACTGCAATACCAGTGCACCATATGTCACAGCGTCGCAATCCATCTCTCCATGTGTCACTTACTTAAGCAGGTTCCAGAAGAACCTATCATTATTTTTAAGTAGGGGGAAAGGACACAATTCCATCGCTGTACTACATTAGTCACTCTGATTCTAGCCTTCAGCTGACTTATTTATTTTCATGAGAAAGGATCTATAGACTTCAAGTTATTCGATCAGATATCACGAGATGTGTATTCTTCAGATCATCTATTTCTTATTCTGCAGTCTTCTAGAAAGTGTGAGCTTGCTTTTTAATCATGTTGAAATGGAACAACAAAGAAGTTTCTGAAATTTGTTAGTAATTATTCAATCAACTATATACACATAGTCGGATGTAAGAGGTACTCAGTCCCTACAGCTGGACTAACAGATGGGCTTTAAGACCAGAACAGAAACCAACAGCACCAGAAGGACAAAACCACAAATTGGCAAGAGAGAATCTTCTTTAGAACTTAACGATGATAATGGTAACTTGTCTTTAAATTATGTTGGACCTTGACAAGGGCAGTCCCTTGACTAAAGTAACTATTTCCAGGCTCCACATTTGCCAGGCAAGAAACGTTGATAATGATTAAGTTAATTGTGTTAATGGAGTGAAAGAAGAAAAAATCATTTTCTCTGGCCATTGTTGGTTAGAAATACCATCCACAAGCTTTTATGCAGTTTGTAAATTTAATGTTTTTCTTTTCAGATGACCAGTTTTACTTTGTGTATTACATATCATGTTAATAAATTATTGGAGGTAATGGGGCCAGTTGCTTAGTGTTTTGTGACTCAGTTTCTTCCTCTGTAAAATAAGGATAATAATAATAAAACCCACCTCAGAGGGTTGCTGTGATGATTAAATAGTTAATACACAGTGCAGTGCTTAGAAGGGTTCCTGGATCACAGTGAATGTAATGCAACTGTTGCTACTATTTTGTTGTTCTTGTCATTATTTAAGAGTTAACTATGGAGTCGGAGGAGACTGAATTCGAGTCCTGGGCCACCAGTTAGCTGGGTGATAGTAAGCCATTTTAAGTGTCTGTAAAATGGGCATAATAACAGTATCTTCCTTAGGCTGGGAAAAAGTTGACGAGATTACGTGGGATAAGCCACTCCTGTGTCTGGCACAGAGTAAGTTGAGCTGTTTACAATGACAGTGAAAACGTTTTTCAATTATACTTTTTGTCACATTAAAATAAGAAAATCTATCTAAGCAAATAAAATTTCCTTGTGTTTTCCAACCTTTTAAATTCACAAATTCTACCAAAATCAGTTATCTTTTCGTTGAGTACATCCAGATAACCCCCCATTGCTCAAATCATATATGGGGCTCTCTGAGGATTTGATGCAATGATCTGAAACAACTGTATCATGTTATAGGACCTGGTGCAAATATTTCCAGTCAAATGTAAGGTACAATGTAGCTGGCTTCTAAGGAGGAGACAAGTAGCAACACATTCTTTATGTACTTCTCCAGCAAGGTGGTATTTCAAACTCCCCAGCAGATGGGCAAAAAACATACAGACAGCTTGTTAGAGAAAGACTCAGACTGTTAAGTCCATCACAGCTCTCTTTTTCTTTCCTCATTAATTCTCCGATCCTTATTCCATTGTATAACTTAACAACTATCTATATAGGCAAAAAAAAAAAAAAAAAGTATCTAGTTTCCACTACCACTCTTTAGAGGCTTGTACAGTTTTTGAGGAGTAAACCAAGAGGTTCTCCCTAAATGAGAAGCTGGCAGGAAACTTTCACCTACTCTGCAGGCAAGCAACACTTTTCAGTGAATCTCAATGAACTCACTACAACTGCTCTTTTGTTTCAATGTTTGATGTTACAGGTAGAGAATATATTTCACTCCTGAGTACCACACGTCGACTTCTGCATTCAAACAGAAACATATCACCAAAGATTTAAAAGGAAAAGATGAAAGAGGAAACGTGAGTATACACAGAAAATAATGTTTTAGTTGATTTTTACACAGATACATTAGTTGCCTAAATCAGACTTGCACAGTTGTGTACTAAATCTGTGCTTATACCCCCATGTCACTCACTCTGGTTGAGATTGAGCCAGTGGTGTTCCCATGGAGATACCTCACACTGCTCACCTAGGGTTTGTTTTCTAATTAATGATTAATGCCATCTCCTAATTACAGAGAGTAGCAGATTCAATGACTTAAAGGACAGCCACAATCTTTGAATTCCTGTAGCTTTCTTTTCAGTCTATTACTAATTTGTGAGGCTAATACGCAACTTCCTTTTACATTTTCCTCATCTATAACGGGGAAGAAAATTCTAAAACAAAAAAGGAGATTTTGGGAAAGGAAAACCTTAGGTTGTATTAGGGTGCCCTGCACCCTAATTTGCCCTGCACATGTAGTTAGGGTGCACCCTAAATACCAGCCCACAGAGATATTTTGCTGGCAAATGTTTTAAACCAGGGATCTCCAACCCCGGAGCAATGTAACCAGGCTGCAGCGCAGGAGGTGAGCAGTAGGTGAGCGTATTTGTCTGTATTTACAGCTGCTCCCCATCACTCACAATACCACCTGAGCTCTGCCTCCTCTCAGATCAGCAGCATTAGATTTTCAAAGGAGCGCGAACCCTATTGTGAACTGCACATGTGAAGGATCTGGGTTGCATGCTCCTTATGATAATCTAATGCCTGATGATCTGTCCCTGTCTCCTGTCACCCCCAGATGGGACTGTCTTGTTGCAGGAAAAGAAGATCAGGGCTCCCACTGATTCTATATTTTGCTAAGTTATATAGTTATTTCATTATATATTACAGTGTAATAATAACAGAAATAAAGTATACAATAAATGTAATGTGCTTGTATCATCCCCAAACCATCACCCCTCACCTGGTCCTTGGAAAAATTTCTTCCACAAAACTGGTGTCTGGTGCCAAAAAGGTTGGGGACCACTGTTTTAAACGGTTTTAAAAGGCTTGGGCTGGGCACAGTGGCTCACACTTGTAATCCCAGCACTTTGGGAGGGCTGAGGTGGGTGGATCACTTGAGACCCAGAGTTTGAGACAGCCTGGCCAACATGGTGAAACCCCATGGCTTTTAAAAAAAAAATACAAAAATAAGCCGGGTGGTAGCACACGCCTGTAATCCCAGCTACTCAGGAGGCTGAAGCAGGAGAATTGCTTGAACACAGGAGGCGAAGGTTGCAGTGAGCTGAGATTGCACCTCTGCACTCCAGCCTGCGCAACAGAAACTGTTTCAAAACACACACACACACACACACGCACACACACACACACACAAATAAAAAGCTTGGCATACTATGCTAATATTTAAGAAATCTTGAGAAGTAGTGATTTAGATTTTGAATCTGTCTTGAAAAACTGGAAAATCTCACAGCATTAGACCAGAACATCTACATGGCAAATTTATCTAAGTAGCTATTGCTTCCTCGAGGTGGAGCTTTTGCTCTCCAGTTTACCAGAGACTTTCTTGTCTTATCCATTCCACCTCACTCATTAACTGTACTTAAATGGCCTTGTAGAGTCCAGTTTTAGCACGCATCCTAAGTCAGAATCCCCACCCCGCAAACCCCGGGTGTCTGATCATTCTTGATATTTGACCAAATCTCTCATCCCTCACTATCCCCTAGTTAATATCTTACCACCCTGGCCATCTTTGAGCAAGAATGCTGTTACATGGTTTAGCAGAGAACTACCCTGCCCTCACAGTAATTTTCCATCCACCAGCCCCCACTTCCCCTGACTCTACTCTTTGGCTATGAATCCCCACTATTTCTTGTTGTATTCAGAGTTGAGCCCAATCTCTCTTTCCCTACTGCAAAACCTCACTGCATTAGTCTTACTTTCCTATCCTGATAGTCCTGAATGTGTCATGGAAAATTTTTATTCTTTAACTTTATGCGAATACCAGTAGACAAATTCTTCAAAAAAGGTAAAACTTAAAAATCCACAATATAATTGGCTGAAAAGTGGAAAAAACTCAATCAATAGGTTGCTGATTCTAACATTGAACAATTTATCCTAATGTTTGGACTGTTAAGATATTTCATGTCTTAGTAACACAGCTATTATGATCACATCATATAAATCTCTATTGTACTATTTCTAGGTGATTCCTATTTGCATTTTAAATGTTTTCACTAAATTTATCCTTGAGTGTTTCATTTTAATTTTGACTCAGTATATTTTCTATGATTAAATGAAATGTACATAACATCAGGTACAAGTATTCTGGATGATATCCACAAATAGGTCTTACAAATTTATGTTCATCCTGCCAGTAGGTTCATACCTACTTCTTGGTAATTTCTTTTCAATCAGTTCTCAGGTTTTCACTTGCTTTTATAGTTATCTTATTTTTAGAGAATTTATTCTATTTGATAATATCCTGCTATTTAGTCATAACACTGATATATTTAGCTTCAAGTATTCAAACACTTTAAAGTGTTTTATTTATTGTAAGTATTGTATTATAACCTTAAAGTGTTTGATTTATTATAAGTATTTGTGGAAAAAACATTTCCAGTTTAGAGATTTTGTACTTGGTTAGCTCTAAACAGCATTTGTAGTATCAAAATAGTTTTATTTATTGTATGATAATATATAATTAATTTAATTGCAATAATTAAAAAGTGGATCTCTGCATATGGTATTAAGTTAGACTTTTTAAAAGTAAAATAACATGATCATAAATATTGTATTCCAAGAGATAATTTTCATAGATAATTGTCATGCAATCATCTATGTCTTTAGATATTTTGCAAATATCAACTGTTATTTCTAATTATTAAAAACATGAAGTTGTACATCAAGAGACTAGGTCTATGAAATTACAATTACTTAGGAAATTCAGAGTTAACAGCTTCTGCTAAGTCTTGACTTAATTCTTATTTAATAGGAAGTGAAATAACCAACAAATGGCTTTACATATTTTATAGGTAAATAAGATTTAACTTACTAAGTAATTTTTAAATTATATTTTCATTCCATTATCCCAATTCATCCAAAATAGTCTCTTGAGTCCCTTACTTCAGAGAAGGAGATTACTGAAGTGATTTTCCAGAAGAATCCATGAAAACAGTATTTTAGCCCAAACTATCAAGAAAATTAAGGACTTTCCATATGTTTATTGAATGAATTACTGTCAACTTTATTCTTAACAAAATACTGTAAAATACTAGTCATTTCACCTCCAATAATGCAACTGTAATGTTAAGAAGTCATTATGTGCAGTTGAGTCACTCAATAGATAAATGTAGAATAAACGCATGTGTATATAATAGCAATGGTTATGTTTTTGTTTTACTTTCTTTCTTATTGTTGCTGCTGTTGTTCTTATTTTAGTGGAGGGTACTGTGCCAAGGAGAATAGTTCCACATGAGGGCAAATCAAAGTAAGAAGTTTACTTTCCTTCAGTCAGCATTATTGAATGCCAACATTTCCTGCTTGTAGCAAAGGGCAGTATCTTGAATTATCTACTTCTGAGTGCCTATCTAAAGCTTTCTAGAAGTTTTAAAGGTACAGATTAGCTATCAAATTTTATTATGCATAATTTGAACTTAGATCTTGTACAAATTTGAATTCCACACAGGATAGTCTAATTCCATAGGATGAAGTCTATAAGTACTTAGAATTTGCATTTGAAACAAGTAACCCACATAATATTTTAGCTAGCCATTCTTAGGTCATATAATAAACACTGCATGTTTATTATATAAAAGTTTTTTAGGCAATGCTTGTTTTTCACTCTAAATATATAACAAACTTTAAGCAATAGCTGTTTTGCTTTCTACCTCCATAACCTGCTCTTAAACATTTTTATTGAATTACATTTAATGTTATGCACCTAGCTTTAATTAGTGATATAAGAATTGGTTACAGCAGTTTCTCTTTATTTGCCAGAGATACATTTCAAGACCTACAGTGGATGGGCCGGGTGCATGGCTCACACCTGTAATCCCAGCACTTTGGGAGGCTGAGGCCGGCGGATCATGAGGTCAGGAGATAGAGACCATCCTGGCTAACATGGTGAAATCCTGTCTTTACTAAAAATACAAAAAAAAAAAAAAAAAAAAAAAAAAATTAGCCAGGCGTGGTGGCGGGTGCCTGTAGTCCCAGCTACTCGGGAGGCTGAGGCAGGAGAATGGCATGAACCCGGGAGGCAGAGCTTGCAGTGAGCCGAGATGGCACCACTATACTCCAGCCTGGGTGACAGAGAGAGACTCTGTCACAAAAAACAAACAAACAAAACAAACAAAACAAAAAGACGTACAGTGGATGTCTGAAACTGAAGATAATACCAAACCCTATATATACTGTGTTTTTTCCTACACATAAATACCTGTGATAAAGTTTCATTTATAATTTAGGCACAGTAAGAGATTATCAACATTAACTTATAATGAGGTAGAACAATTATAACAATATACTGTAATAAAAGTTATGTGAATGTGGTCTTTCTTTTTCTCAAAATAATCTTATTTTATGTAATATTTTTGGACTGCAGTTGACTGCAGGTAACTGAAACCATGGAAAGCGAAACAATGGATAAGGGGGGTACTACTTCATAAAATATTATAATATTCTTTAAATCAAATATAGATATCGTAAAATATCATGTTTTATTGAAAACATACAAATATATTTTAAAATACTGCTTAAAGTCCAAAAGAAAATTCAATGTTCAGGTATAATAAATATAATAATTATCATTAGTGTATTTCTTCTCTCTGCTTATCACAGTAATTAGTTTTCTTTCTCTTGCCATAACAGATGCATATCAAAATCACTAGCAAAGTAGTTTCAAAATCCACAGGCCTATCTACTTTTGTAGATTGAAATCTTATTGGAAGTATCATCTGGTATTAGTTTTGGAAGTATTGTTCAGATTTATACCTCTTGGCCCCTCAACTAAATTGAAAACCATAGCTATAGACAGTGAGAAGAGGTCATCTCCAGGATGTAAATTAATATAATAAAATTATCACCCTACTCTCAACCAGCTCCTATAACCAGATCTGCATGCATTTTTAATCAAGCTAATACTAGAAATGCAAATTCTCCAACAGCACTATTGAGTAATGTTTCTAACTGAGGATTTCATGAAGTCATGAGTGAATTATACCTAACAGAGCAAAATTTCTTCATTTTAATTGTTTTTTTCTTTCTTAAAATGTCTCTATCTCTGTCACAATCATGTTCTCTCTTTTGTTCTCTCTTTCCTTTTCTCTTATTGAAATCCCCTCTTTATTCTAAGGCACACAATCCCTCACCTCACATTTTGACATACCCTTCTGATGTACAGTAAATGAATTCTCAGACTGACATCCCATCCACTCCCACTTCACAAGAACAAAAGCTGCTCTTCTGCAGATCTACCCCCCTCTTTACAAGTAAAGAACAAATTCATTTTTCTTTCCTGTCAGTAAAATGGAGTCAACTAAAACATATGCCTGACTTGAATATAGTGTATAGTCTATTATGTTAGTATATTTAAAGTTACATGGTATCAAAAGAAGAAAGCTGTTAAAAGAAGATCAGAAAATTGGGGCATCAGAAAGAACAAATTTCCCATAGATTACCTAGAACACTTGAATCTGTAGGGGGTAAAAATAATAAGTATGGTATTGTCTTACCTTTGCTAGGTGGGGAGGGGAAGAGAAAGGGGAACTTGCTGTTTTGGTCTGGCCTCAATCTTAAACGTCACTATCAAGTTGACTGACACACTAAAGTGGATCTGTACTTGTTGAACTGATAAATATTCATGATAAGATTTAAACATGTTTTAGAAAAAAGCAAATATTATGATCACTTTGGAATTTTCACCAAAAACAAACAGTCCTCCAAAAAACAAAACTAACTTTGCTTAATCCTGAGTAGAGTATTTGCTGGAAACCTCCATATCTGAACTGCCATGTTTTGTTTAGACAGTCATGTCACACTGAAACGACTTGCATTTTTCAGCCTTCCTTTCCTTGAACTTTGGTCAGTACAAGTACCTTAAAATGCTAAATATTTTCTAAATACCTAAATTCTTAGGACGATGGGAATGCCTTAGTCCAATAATTCTTTTTTTCTCTAAATAAATACAGTATGATGACACATAAGGCAAACAAATCTATGAAATGTAAATTATATATTATTTCAAAAAAAGATTTTTCATAAATATATGTAGCTGAAGTAACCATGCACTAGGCATATGCTTCCTATGTTTACGCATAAGCACTGATTTTTCTAAGGGAGGTCATGTTTTTTGAAGTGACAATTCAAGTGGGAGTATTTTGCCCCTAAAGTCTTCATTCAAACTATTTTCCAGTGGTGTCACAAACAGATAAATGCACCTAATTACTAGCTTGCACATCCTGATGTATGTTTATTTGACTATGCAAACAACCCACCAAATGTACAATTTTCTCTTCTTAAAAAACGTAGTAATTTAAATGCAAAAGATATGTTAATCAGTATTATCATTAAGATTTTTCATATGTCAAGTTAGGATGCTTGGAATTATCATTTTGCTGTCAGCAATAAAGCAGCTTACACTGGAAATCTATTATGGAAATATTTCAACAAACTCAATAAAATGGAACTCAGAGTTCTCCTGACAGAATAAAGCAAGCGTGGTGGCAAAAGACAAAATTATAACAAATTTACTTTAAAGATCTTAATTGGCTTTAATTTGCCATTCTAGAATCAGGCAACACCTCATCCTACAAAACAGAAAGAGTGTTCCAATGAGCTGAAAAGAAGAGGTTGGCTTTAGAGAGAGAAAAGGGCTGAGAAAAGCAGAAACAGAGGAACAAAAAGCTTTTTGGGTTTTCAAAGTTACTTCCCTTGTAAAGGTTAAAGCAGAGGGGACTCAACATGCCAGCTAAAACTGGCCTGCTGGGGAATTTGGCTATTATCTCTCTTCTGATTTCTGGGAAGGTTAGATAAGCCATTTAGTTTTGGCTTGGTTACATGGAAGTTTAGTCTGAGTGACTCTGTTTTGGTTTGGTCTGTTGGACCTAGTGCAGGAGTTCAGGCCAAAACGGTGGTTTCTTATTCATTTTATTTTATTTTACTTTTTCGGTTTCTGACTTTAGCTCATTATAAATTATATTTAACAATGGTGCTGGCTTTTATATAATAATTTAGTAGGTACAAACTGTTTCTGAGAAGAGGAAGAAGAGGTGAAGCCCAGGCTATAATACTGTAGAAAGGGGTCTGTAAAACATTAAGAAAAGAATTTGAAAATGAAGGGAATAAATAGAACGTGCTCTTCCAAATTACTGTACAAGTTTTTTTTTTGAAGTACAAGTAGTCATCGCGATATGAAAACTTGAAGTTGAGGAGTTTTAATCATACCAGGAGTGGTGGGGACTCAACCAGCAGAAGGTACTCCCATAAGCACCTCCTGCAGTAATTGTTATTTTAATTGGCTGAAATAAACTGAAATGCCCTCAGGCCAGTGATGAAGCTGTGTACGGAGGCAGCTTTATTTCCTTTAGGAAAGAGACCCACTGTGAAAGTTTATACTTTGAATTAAAAAGAGAAAAAGAGTATTGTTACTCATTTTATCAACGTTAAATTACCTGAAATCTGTTCTCCCATGTCCCTTCCATCACACTTTCACTTGTCACAGAAAAGTTGTATTTTGTGTGGGAAGGGGCTGCTTTTTAACTAGTAATTTACCCTATATTGCTTCCAAACTTCCACCTGTTTTCCCACATCCAAAGCCTTAAAACTGAAAGGTCTTCTTACTAGGTTACAAATTCTAATTAATAAATGGAATGGGCAGTTACAAATTTGTGGGAACATAGATCCTTTAAAAACTGCAGTCATGGCCAGGCATGGTGGCTCATGCCTGTAATCCCGGCACTTTGGGAGGCTGAGGCGAGAGGATCACTTGAGGCCAGGAGTTCGAGACAAGCTTGGCCAACATGGTGAAACCCAGTCTCTACTAATAACAAAAAATTAGCCCGGGGTGGTGGTGTGCACCTGTAATCCCAGCTACTTGGGAGGCTGAGGCAGGAGAATCGCTGGAACCTGGAGGGTGGAGATTGCAGTGAGCTGAGATTGTGCCACTGCACTCCAGCCTGGGCGACACAGCAAGACTCCATCTAAAACAAACAAACAAAAAAAAAAAAACAAGAAACTGAAATTATTTCATTCCTGATACATTCAACTGCATGCTTTCAAAGTATAAAGCCATGCACTGACTGATGGTATGGGATTTCAGAGATGAAAATGCCATTCAGTTCAAGATTAAAAATAAGGCAATGAGATGCATGTAAAATTTTATGAACTGGTAGAAACAATAGAAGTACTATTTAAGAAATCCAATTATTTTACTTGAGTACAGGCTGAATTTCAGTTTGGGGGTGCAGAGAAAGAGACCTATCAGGAATAAAATGTGTTAGATCAGAAAAGAGCATGAAAGCTTGAAGAAGGTTAAGTTGCATTGGGACTCTGCAAAGAGTGAGTAAAAGATTCATCTGAAAGTAAAAACATTTAGCATAAATGACTAATTATATAATCAGGATTTTTAAAAAGATGAAAGATCAAAAACATGATGGTGGCATAAATCCTGGAAAACAGAGAACAGCAAAACTGGAAAATAAATGAAGTGAAAGATAATTAGCTTACGTTGAGGTAAGTTGAATCAATGACACATTTATATTTGTTCAATATTTAGAAATCTACATTTTAGACATCTATGTGTGAGTATGAGTGAAAGTGGTGGGAGTGAAATACAGTTATAGATTTATTTCTCAGTATTCCAGGAGCTGAAGACAGCGCTCTTCTGCTCTCTCAAAGGATATGATGCAAATATTACGGTGAAAACACAGTGTACATCTATCATTTCAGAAAATTATGTATTATAAAACCTTATCAATTATGCCAATGGATTAAATATTCAAGTAATATGATAATACTGATATTTCTGTAATCCAAAGCACCATGG
This sequence comes from Homo sapiens, assembly GCF_000001405.40. NCBI lineage: Eukaryota > Metazoa > Chordata > Mammalia > Primates > Hominidae > Homo > Homo sapiens. The sequence goes on along the minus strand of NC_000005.10, from coordinate 165,350,014 downwards.
CTTGATACTGTGAGAGACACTATGATTAACACAACCAAAGTTTCCCCATAGCTTCCAAGAAATCAAACAGTCAACTATTCTTGGAACAAAATTGAACTTTGAATGCCCTTCCTTAATTTATCCTGTACAATCTTTAAGCCGCCTCCCATGTTGCAATTTTTAATAAAGGCTTGAACTATTGACTTTGGTTGATGTTTCTCCTTCCACAATCCTTGTAGATGGTTATTCATCCTGAGGATTCAAGTGCCATCTTCAACTGAATCCAAGTGTCACTTCTTTTCATGTAGAATGTATCTATAACCCCTTCTGGAGATTGGCAAATTTACCGAGAATCATTCCAGAAGAGAAAACAAATCAAAAACAAAAAATCCAACCAAGTTTTATATAGGGAATCTAAGAAACAGATCCTTAGAAAAAGTGCTGCTAACCTGGTGTGGCTTTCCTGAAAGTCTGCAAATCACAAAGAAACAAAAAGCCTAACCTTCTGTCACAGCGAGTTTATCTCCCTTGTGGAGATGATGGGACAAGAGTAACAGAAAATTGTTTACTCAGACCATTTCAATCAGACCTAAAATGCTTCTGTTTTGCATTCATAAACAGAATAACCTCTCTTTCCAAAAAAAAAAACAAAAACCACAATTTTTGTGTCCATAGATATTCAGTGGCTAGACGCATGCAGATTTATCAAAATGGCTGTCAGCAGACTACATAGTTTAAAGCAACCTTCTTTAGAATAAACCATAAGTCACCTGTGGAATTCCGAAAGAGGAGGCAATATAGAAATGAACATTTTCTACTGAATAAAATCATTCCAATTTAGAAAGACTTTAGTGAGATCTTTCCCATATTGAAAGTTAATTTTATTTTTACATTTTAGAAATAAGGGAAAAATAAAACTCTTTTTCCTATGAAAGGAATTCGTTTAAAAAAAAAATCTTAAAGAAATGCAGGTTGATGAACCTACCTCTGGTAAAGATCAAGTTTTCTGATGATTGGAGCCAAGATGAGGATTTCCTGCAGACCAAGCTTTCTTAAAGTGCTTCAGGGTCCCTGTCTGCCATATTTTTAATCTAATGTATCTTCACCTCGAAGCCCTTAATGGCAGTGTTCTGAGGACCTACGAAGGGGGGAAAATAACATTTTAAAAAGACTGCTGAGTTACAGCAAAGTCACCTTGCCTTTGCTTCAGTTGTTGTGCATTCCGGAATATAAAACAGAAACATCTTGTTTATAGCAGTCAACTTGCTCAATGCGGGGAAAGGGTGGAGAGGCTAAGACACATCCAGGTAGTATAAAAAGGAAAAAAAATAAATAACAGAGGACTCTTAACTGTATACAAGGCCAGTTTAGTTTTGAGAATTGCTTTTACAAAGGATGTTGCTGCATTTTATTTGAGAACAGGGCTGGCAAGGGTGAGAGGAGTTGGAGGGAGAATTCTGAGCAATGTAATTACTCAATACTTATATAAGGAGTGGCTTCTACATGCAGTTGCAATGATCAACAAAGTAGTTACAGATTATGCCTTTCCAGAGTTGACACTGCAACTGTATAAAAATAAGCAAACATGCAATTATAGTGAAATGAGATAAATGTGATGGTAGGTGATGTGCATGAATATGTGGGAGGTTACAAATTTCCTAAACTTGGGAGGCAAGAAGAGGGTCAGGGAAGCCTTCCCAGCAGAAAAGTCACCCAACCAGAGAGCTGAAGGAAGTCCAGTATTTAAACAAGTTAGAACCTCAGAGTGGCAGGTCCAGAGAGGCATGTGCAAGAAAGGGGAAAATGAAGAGCATGAAGCTGTAAGAAAGACTGGAAAGGTGAGGAGACAAATCTCACCTTGACTTCTATGCCTTTTTTAAGAGGAGCGACTTGAACTTGCAAATTACAATGAGATTTTGAGTAAGAAGAGCAATGCCTAGCAGGGTGTCAGGCTCACTGGAGGCCTTAAGAAAGTCTTACTGAATTATGTTAACCAACTTACTTTTAACTCATTAATAAAAGTTTTTCTAAAGCTAATTTTAAAGAGTTTCAATTTAATGTCTTTTGGGACTTAAATCAAATGAATATATGTAACATATGTAATTTTTTTTTAAAAAAAGAAACCAGCTTTTATTTTTTAAAGACCGAACAAAGAAACAAGTTTTTCTTTGGATTTGGCTAAGCTGGGATGCTAATAAGATGGCTGTTTGCAAATGGACCAGTTTGTGTCCACAGAGTGATATATATAGGCTCTCATATAAATATGCATACACATATGTATGTACATGTATTATTTTCTCCCTCTTTCTTTTTCTCCTTCTCTCTTTCATTTGTTCTTTTTTTAAACTCTTCTATCTTTTGGAACTATGAGGGCAAACCTAAATATGTTGCAAGGTAACTTATTTTTATCTAATGAACATGCAACAGCCAATTGAACAAAATAATAAATGGTACGTTTTAAGTATTAACGTCTATTTGATCTGAAGTGTGGAAACAAAGTCATTTGAGCTACTTATTGGACTGAAACGTGGATTTGCATGATTCTCTATGTAAAGTGAGTTTTTAAACTAAATTTCTTGACAGAGAGGGAAGAGGGAAGAGAAGCCCATGTTTGGGATGTATAAGCATGGTGGCAACTCTTTGGATTTTTGTCCTCTCACACAGGAGAACACTAGTCACCACATGGGCTTGCTTCTCTTTTTGATAGTTTCAGAGCCCCCATCCAATTATCTTTTGCCTTAAACTCCAGACAAAAAAAGAACTGTAAACGATTAGATACTGCAGGTGGCGGGTACAAACGGATAGTGTGTTTTACTAACTGTAAGTAGAATTGCTGAACCTATAGGTAGTTTTTGATCTCATAAATGAACTTTGTGCACTAGATTTAAACTACTATTCCATCAACTTGGATTAGACTGAGTTGTATGCATTTCAATACCTATTTGGTGGTCTAAAAATATAATTATTATACTATTTGTTTTAGAGACAGGGTCTTGTTCTGTCACCCATGTTGGAGTGCAATGGCGAGAACATGGTTCACTCTAGCCCCCAACTCCCGGGCTCAAGTGATCCCCCTGCCTCACCCTCCTGAGTAGCTGGGACTGTAGGTATGTGTCACCATGCCAGGCTATTTTTTTCATATTTTGTAGAGATAGGGTCTCACTATGTTGCCATGCTGGTCTCAAACTCCTCAAGTGATCCTCCCACCTTGGCCCCTCAAGGTGCTGGGATTACAGGTGTGTGCCACCACACCTTGCCTAGAAACAGAATTACTGAATGAACTAAATCATAGTTCTGCTGAATAGAACTGAAAATAGTTCAGTTCAGGTTAACAAACTGATAAACGTTAGTTGTTATCCTAGTATTATCCCTAGTATGTGATAATACATAGAAATTATATTGTATCCTTTTGTACTTGTAAAACATCATATTATGCCAAATTTTAAATGCTATCACTAATCGTCCATTAAGTTATAGTCATATTATAGCATCCAACTAAAAGAAATAACTGCTTCTCAGTCTAAAACCTCCAAAACAAATAATGTAGTCAAACAATAACATTTAAAATTTTCAAAATTTATTTTATGGTTTCAGCCATCAATGTAACAAACATGTACCATTACGCATATCGTATATTATGTGCCATTAACTGTTCAGAGCAAGTGGCTTATTCTCCTCTAACTGAACGTTGCTATAGGAGAAATGTGTTGTGTTAGCCCACCCAGAACCATCTTTCCATCTTCTGTAAGCAAATGATCTCATCACATTTCTTTCATTTGGCTATAATTTTGGTGGTACACTTATTTGAGTTACTGACAAAGGGATGGCAAATAACCCAAATTATGTCAACCAAAATCTGTCTCAGGAATTGTAATCCCGAGTAAAATGAAGTAAGGATAGAAAACAGTTGGAGTTCATTTATTCTGACATTAGGACCTTGATGATTCTCTTCCTTTGTTTTAGATACTGATATCTGAGGAGTTTTCATATTTCTATCTTTCTTGAAGTCCGGTTGTTCTACTTTTCCATCCATTCCATGAGCTGCCCCATGTGTTTTATTTTATTTTTTAAATTTCAGTAGCTTTAGAGAAACAAGTGGTTTTTGGTTGAATGGATGAATTGTATAGTAATAAAGTCTGGTCTTTTAGTGTACCTGTCACTCGAATAGTGTACATTGTACCCAATAAATAGGTAATTTTTCATCTCTCACTCTGCTCCCACCCCGACCCTCCCACTGCATCTCCAATGTCCATTATATCACTCTGTATGCCTTTACATACCCATAGCTTGGCTCCCACTTACAAGTGAGGACATGTGGTATTTGGTTTTCTGTCCCTCATTTACTTCACTTAGGATAGTGGCCTCCAATTCCAACCAAGTTGCTATGAAAGCCATTATTTTCTTCATTTTTATGCCTGAGTCGTATTCCATGGTGTGTGTGTGTGTGTGTGTGTGTGTGTATATATATAATATATATAATATATATATATTATGTGTAATATATATATACATGTATTATGTTTAATATATACATATATACATATGTATATGTGTATACGCATATGCGTATATACATGTATACATATGCATATGTGTGTATACGCATATGTGTATATACACATATATACATATGTATATGTGTATATACATATGTATATATACACATATATACACATATATGTGTATATAGACATATATGTGTATATATATTATATACAATATGTGTGTATATATAGACATATATACATATATACATATATATGTATATATTACATATACATATATATTATGTACGATATATATTATATATTATATATTATAAAATATATAATTATATATTATATTAGATAATATATATTATATATATCATATATAATTTATATATATTTACATATAATATATATTATATATAATATATGTGATATATATTATATATGTAATATTATATATATATGTGTCACATTTCTTTATCCACTCATAGGTTGATGGGCACTTAGGCTGATTCCATGTATTCAGTTGTGACTTGTGCTGTGTGCAGGTGTTTGCTTTCTTTCATAATGACTTCTTTTCCTTTGAGTAGATACACACTAGTGTGATTGCTGGATCTACTGGTAGATCTAATTTTAGTTCTTTGAGGAATCTACATACCATTTTTCCATAGGGGTTGTATTTTATTTTTTTCTTTCTCTCTCTCTCTCCCTCCATCCCCCCCTTCCTTCTCTCCCTCCTTCCCTCCTCCCTCTCTTCCTTTTAAGCTAGCCATAGATGGTTTCTATTACCCATAACTAAAGAATCCTAGCTGATACTGAAAAAGTGATAGCAAAGCTCATAGATATAACGTAAGTGCTAAGAGAACTATATTACAAGGCAAAAATGTAAGTACCATAAGGGAAAAACAACATATTACAAGGGGTATAATGAAAGAGGCAGAACTAGCTCATGTTTATTAAAATTAAAAGAGTTTTAATGGAGAAAATGAAAGTATGAATAAAATTTTCAGAGATTAGGAGAATAGAGCAAACACCAGCAAAGTGATCAAGGGAAGACAAGTTCAATATGTGCTCAATGGTTAGGAATAACCCTGCTTCACACATATAGAAACAGAGAACATAGAAAGAAATGAGAGAAAATATTGGAATGAATGATCTGTTCCTTTTAAAAATAAATATTTATTGTGGTTCTGTGATCCAACAGTAAATAAGACAGATGCATTTCCTACCTTCAGGAAACTTATATTCTCCTGGAGGAAAGAGACAAATAGCTACCAAAAAAAGATTCTTGAACAAACAAATTTATTACTTTAAAAATGCAATAAGTTCTGTGATGAAGAAAACCAGGAGCTAAAATATAGAGTATGGATGATTGGGTAAGGTAGGGAGTTTAGGAAGGGCTGGAGGAATGTTGTGATATTCTAGCTAATAAATGAATTATGAGAAAATGAGAGAAATGGAACTTTCCAGGCAAAGGGGCAGATAATGCAAGTGTCTCTGGCACAGGGAAGAATTTGACTTGTTCTCAAAATTAATTAAAAAGACTCCAGCCAGGTGAGCAAAGTAGCGTGCACTGTGAGATGATGCTGGAAAAACAGCCCTGGGCAAGATCCTGCAGGGGCTTAGATTTTATTCTAAATTTCTGAGGAAGCTGAGAGAGGGATTTGGATTTTATTCCAAATTTGTGAGGAAGCTATTTACATTTTATGAAAATCAACTTCATGGCTATGGAGTTGGGAGCAATTATTATGGGGTGGGAACAATTATTACACTATACAATAATAGTCCTGAATGATGGGTTGGATTTAGAAGATGCATATATGGGAGGAATGAAGGGTACATCATGGCAGACATAATGGGAAACATTAAATATGAGGATATAAGTTTTTTGTTATTGAGTATATAATTTAGAACTCTTGAAAATGTTTGTTTTAGGTACAACTGTCTTCCATAATGACACTATCCCTAATGCATATTTCTACCTCTAATCTTATCCAGTATTTATACTTCCTGTCATATGATTTAGCAGTTAATTTCATGCTGACCAGTACTCTGCAATTTACACTATATTTCCCAACTTGATTCAGAACATCTTAAGGGCAGGGCCAGTTCCACACATTTCTGGATCTTTCACATGACCTAATATATTTTGATATAAATATCAATTAGTAATAATAACAAGTATATATTTAATTATCATGTTCTTGGCACTGTTCTAAGGGTTTTACATGTATAATTTCATTTAATCCTTGTACAAAATCTATGAAGAGAGCCTGGTTATTATTTTATGGTGAGAAAATTCAAATTTGCCATGATGAAGCCACTTGTCCACTTATTATGAATTGATTCATTTCCCTGTAATATTTTTGAAGAAGAAAAAACAAGCACCTGGTCAGATAGGCTGTTGGTCATGGTATATTGAAAGAATACATGTGAATAATATTTTCATGATATTATAACACTTCCTAGTCCTCCTAGTAATCCACCATATATCTGTTGATGGTGATAGAATTCCACATATTTTCTCCATCTGCATTTGCTAGCTGTATATGTCATTTAAATACAAAGGTTTGATTCAGATCACATGACACTCTGCCTCACTTGCCCTCTCTTTCAGTTAATTAAGCCAGCCCAAATTTCTCCCACCACTAAATCAGAGAGATCACAGGAGAGGTTCTACAATAGATGCTGCTGGTTCATTTTGTTTGGATCCTAAGCATTTCTAACATAAATATCCATGGAGAAATACCTATCAAGTAATTATTGTGACACAGATTATGATTGTAGTGCAGTTATCTCAACAGATGCCAAGAAGTTAAAAAAAAAAAAAAAAAGGAGATGGTGATACAAATGAGGGAGAAAAACAAACACAATACTAATAGGAATTAGAAGGGAAAATAAAGACTGTCAAAGAAGATTACCGATGGGCAAACTATAGGAGGACACAGAAAAAAAGTAAACTTTAAAATAATTTAGATTCCACCCTGAGGCATTCAAATATAAAAACAATAGAGCAATTTTAATTGGGCAAATAGACTCTAAGTGTTTGCTTAAAACTATTTCTCTCCTTAAAACATAGCGACAAGGATGACGTACTGGAATTTTGCTCACACTCTGTTTTCCTCATCAAAGTTGAAATTTTATAAATAGAAAATTCCAATTTCTATTTTGGTTTATAGTATGAACTCAAATAAATATATCCTCTATGTCATGGGTGTGACTGGCTGGGGTCGCCGTCGTGGGAGGTGAAAGAATTTACCAAAACAGTCGTGGGTAAATAAAGGCAGATTGATTAGAGAAAATACGAAGATATGTTTTAAGAGAGCAGTGGGCAACACAGCAGAGAGAAGGCTGTTTGCCAAGAGGCAGGGCTTGCAGGTAAGTTTTATAGGGTTATGCTGGAGAGGCTAGGTGCAGGTAGAGTCGTTCTGCTGGGGCTACCTGCAGAAAGAGGTATTTGGGAACAGGATGCTGTACAAGCAGTTTGTTTTGTGGTTAGCCATTTCTTAGAACAATTGTTCTCCCCCACCTTGGAGCCCTTTCCTCATTGTTGTTAACATATTAGGACTCCACGCCCTGTCTCCTTAGGAAGAGAGTATTTAAATAATAAGTGGAAGATGATATTAAAACAGATACTATCATGCCACTGATTTGTATGGAAAAATAGACAAGGCAGATGAGAAACTTGGCAAGTAAAGAACAGGAGAAGTAAAATGGAAGAAGAAGGAGAAGAAAAGGAAAGAGAACAGCAGAAACAACAAAACACACACACATCAACTGTTGATCATTTTGAAAATTTCAAGCGTTCAGGTTAGCTCACAGGTTTTCCAGGGGTCATTCGTTTTCCGGCCGTGTTTGATATCTTGTCCACCCCGTTGTCCCCATTCCTAATTTGGTGTAGGTTGCTTGGCTTACAGAAAATAGTGTCATTCAGAAATACTAGGATCACAACAGGCTGATTAATAACTGTGTTGAAAAGCTAAACTTTAGGTGATAGTCTATGTAAGTCTCCCTTATATAAAATGCCGGCTCTGCAGCCTGTAGTGTTGGGCGTTTATCTTAGATTTCAGCTGAGTCTCTTTAGGAGCCCTGGCAAAGCAGGACCACAGAGAAAATGCTATTAGAGTCATTTGCATTTTCTTAATGAAGAGGTGGAAACTTGCATCACAAGAACCCTGCAAATCAGCATCCACTATTTGGGTGAAGTAGGAAAAAGTAGCATAATAACATGGGAATAAAAATGCTTTTAAAATATTTTTAAATGCAGCTCTCATTTCTTCAAAAATTTAGAGAATTAGTCACTTGGCATCTCATTTAACGCTCAAAATTCAATTTAGCCTGAAGCATCCTAATAAATATAAAAGACCTTGGAAATATATAAAAACAACATTTTGTAAACATCATATGGCTTCACAAATTGGGGACAATTTACTCATATTAGTTTTTTTCTCGTATGTATTACAAAATATTCTTATTTCTGCCCTTTTACTTCTCTGTAGTCATACTTTGTTTTTTTTTTTTTTTTCTTACTACAGAAACATTTTGGCAGGGAGGGTAGGAACGCCTATCTAGATATCATGGGACACTATTGTTCATCAAGCATAATTTAAAAAATGCTAATTTAAGATGTTTTTCCCTTCCCTTCCCTGAATAAAACACCATCACTCAGACACTAGGTCAGGAAAACAGAATATAGAAAACAAGCAAGAGTCCAACAGCTGAAGACTAAAATGCAAGGGGAAACTGCTTTAAGAGAAGCCACAGAATTAATGCCTGTATACATTCTGAAACTTTTTGAAAACCAGCCACCTTCTCCACCTATAGACTGTGTTGTGGCTCTATCCTAAACCTTGCAGGTCTTCTCTGTGCCTATGATTGTCTTAATAGCTTACATCAACGTTGGCACGCTGTTGTACTCATAACACAGACCGTAATACATGCATGACTGTCCAGGTTCGAAGCTCTGCTTTGCCTCACCAGCTTTCTGACGTTGGTGGGTAACTTCACTTCCCTATGCTCCAATTTCTTCATCTGTAAATGGGCATACTTCTCAGGCCTACCTCATAAGACTGTTATGTTAGTTATAAGAGGTTGAGAAACATGCCTGGGGCAGACTAATGCCATATACATGTTTGATAATTGCATATATGAAATTAAAAAGTAGATTAAATCAGTAAATATGAATTAGGCACCTACACTGTTGCAAGCCACGTTACAATAAAGAACAAGATAAAATTGGCCAAATCAGTGGACTTGAACTTACATTCTAGAGAAAAGAAACAGGAGTAATCATGTAAACAAATAAACAAGACATTTTTATGTGGAGATAAATGCTATAAAGAAATGACTGTTATGTGATAGCAATAGAGGAGACTGCTTTGGCAAGGCCCTTTTGGGACTTGGGATTTGAGGTGAGACCTGAAAAACGGGATGCTGTTCAGGAATAAGAAACAGGAGCTCTAAGTACTCAGCAACTAGAACCACTGTCTTGCTATGGGACGGAGGAGACCTGGGTATGGAGGTGGAGAAGGAAGGAGATGATAGGATATAATGTCAGAAAAGCAGGCAAGAGACCTGTTGGTCAGGTCTTGGAGTTTGGCTTTTACTTTTAGTGCAATGAAAACCATTGCAGGATTTAAAACTGAGGACAAGGGTGATCTAGTTTAACTGCCAAAAAATTCCTTTGTTTCTGAATGTCTACTGAAACCATTCACTTAATGCCAACTTATTGACTTACTTTATGCATTGACTTGGTGGTTTGGATTCTAAATTTCACCTTGTTGTTGACTCAAAAAATGCAGAAGATACTAGCTGGGAAGTAAATGTATATCTGCCACTAAGAGATTTTACTCCAAAGTACTTGGTAGCTACGTTTGTCTAGTTTTACATATATGTAGTTATGTAAACCTTTTCTTTGACCGTATTTCACTAATCAAAATTTTGCATAATTCCTCTGTAGTTTCTTGCCACAAACCCTGGACAGGACCAGTTATATGTACAGGCTATAGGCAGCTACCTACATTTATATGATGTGTGAGGCACTACACAACATTTATGTGATAAAGACTTTCTTAATCACTAGTCCATTGTGGTACATAAAACTCTTACCAATAGATTTATGGTATTGGGTTGCAGAGGTTAAATGTCAGAGCAAACAGAGGGTGTACATCTTACTGAGGCGAAAGAAAACATTATCAGAGGATAGGGGCCTGGACCAATTAGATAGGGAACAGAGTACATTTGGCAGAAGTACTAAGCCTTGAAGGGCCCATCCAGTTGGATATCTGCTTACAGACATGCATCACTTAACAATGGGGATACATTCTGAGAAATGCACTGCTGAGTGATTTCATCACGTAAACATCATGTAGTGTACTCACAGAAACCTAGATGGTACAGCCTACTATACACCTTGGCTATGTGGTATAGGCTATCGGTCCTAGAATAAAAACCTTACAGCACACTATTGTACTGAATACTGTAAGCAGTTGTAACACAATGGCAAGTATTTGTGTATCTAAATACAACTAAGCTTAGAAAAAGTACAGTAGGCTGGGCACGGTGGCTTATGCCTGTAATCCAAGAACTTTGGGAGGCCAAGGCGGGTGGATCACTTGAGGTCAGGAGTTCAAGACTAGCCTGGCCAACATGGTGAAACCCTGTCTCTACTAAAAATACAAAAAAATTACCCAGGTGTGGTGGCAGGTGCCTGTAGTCCCAGCTACTCAGGAGGCTGAGGCAGGAGAATCGCTTGAACCCGGGAGGTGGAGGTTGCAGTGGGCCAAGATCATGCCACGACACTCCAGTCTGGGCAACAGAGTGAGACTCCAACTCAAAAAAAAAAAAAAAAAGAAAGAAAGAAAAAAGAAAAGAAAATGTACAGTAAAAATATGATATAAAAGATTAAAAAATGGTACCATCAATGGTGTTTTCAGGACTGGAAGCTGATCTGAGAAAGTTAATCAGTGAGTGAATGGGAGTGAATGTGAAAGCGTGAAAGCCTAGGACATTACTGTGCACTACTTTATAAACACTGTACACTTAAGCTACATACACTAAATTTATTTTAAAATCTCTCTTTAATAATAAGCTTTAGCTCTCTGTAACTTTTTTAGTTTATAAACACTTTAATTTTTTAAACTTTTAAACTCTTGTAACAACAACATAGCTTGAAACATGAATACATTGTAAAGGTGTACAAAAATAATTTTTTTCTTTATAGTGTTATTTTAAGCGATTCTATTTTTCAGTGTTTAACATTTTTAACTTTTTTGCTAAAAGCTAAGACAAAAAGACACACATTAGCTTAGGCCTACACAGGGTCAGGATCATCCATCTCACTGTCTTTCACCTCCACATCTCGTCCCACTGAAAGCTCTTTAGGGGCAATAACACGCATGGAGCTGTCATCTGTGATAGCAATGACTTCTTCTGGAATATCTCCTGAAGAACCTGCCTGAGGCTGTTTACAGTTAACTTTTTAAAGAGTAGAAAGAGTGTACTCTAAAATAACGTTAAAAAGTACAGTAAATACATAAGCCAGAAACATAGTTATTGATTATCAAGTATTATGCACTGTATATAATTATATGTGCTAGACTTAATACAACTAGCAGCACAGTTGGTTTGTTTACACTGGCATCACCACAAACATGTAAGTAATGAGTTGCATTATGAGTTATAATGGCTATGATGTCACTAAGTGACGGGAATTTTTCAGCTCCATTATAATCTTATGGGACCAACATTCTACATGCGGTTCCATAAGATTATAGACTCATGGGGTGCATGATTGTACACATCCTGCCTTCATCTATTCATGATTTCAACCAATATGTGGATGGTCAATCCTTCTTGCATTTAAAATTATCTTCAGAAGCCATTAATCTTACAAGTCTGTTTTCCCCATTCTGTTTTAATGGACTCTAATTTTTATCAGGGAGACTCTTTATTTCTAAATTTCTAAAACTGTTCAACTTAAAAAACTATCTGGAATAACGACAGAGATGCATACAGTTTTAAGAAAAGGAAGTCATGCTTCTCCAAACTGAGATTTATGAGAACAAACAATTCAAGCAACATTAGGATAGGGTATCTTCTCCCCAGGAGCTAATAATAAAATTACTTTTATACCAATGTCTTAATTTCATTAGACTGTTCATAGCTCTTTACACATTTTGTGCTTGCTTGCCTAGGAGTCCTTATAGTTTTGGATGTAGTTTGCTGATTGGTTGAGGTTAGTAATCACAGTAGTCAAATATGTAATATTTAAATCGATGCCACCTGTGTTCCTCCAATAAAACTAGGTAGCGGAAGAAAACACATTTAACATGAAAAATCCCCATTTTATGGATTCAGTAGCACGAAACTGACGGGTAACTTAACTTCCCTATGCTTTGATGTTTTCATCATAAGTAAAACCAAAATTTATACCAAAAGTGGGCAGATATCAGCATTTTTAAAGTGCAGTTACTGTGATCTTACTAGAATGTTTTCCTCCAAACTGTGTCTTCATATTTAATAATTAGCTTTATTTCTACTTGTTTGCAAATAAGTTTGTACTTAATTATTTAAAGGACTTGCCACTATTTTCCAAAATAACCATTTTGGAAAAGCCATGTTGGTTAAATATTAATGGTGTTCTTTGGTATATTCCAATTCTAACAATAAATTAGGGGACTTCTTTTTGGCATTCAGGCACTTTCTTACTCAGATAAGTTGATTAATTCCACTTGTGTCTTTTTTTTTTTTTTTATTTTTTTGAGACGGAGTCTCGCTCTGTCGCCCAGGCTGGAGTGCAGTGGCGGGATCTCGGCTCACTGCAAGCTCCGCCTCCCGGGTTCACGCCATTCTCCTGCCTCAGCCTCCCAAGTAGCTGGGACTACAGGCGCCCGCCACTACGCCCGGCTAATTTTTTTGTATTTTTAGTAGAGACGGGGTTTCACCGTTTTAGCCGGGATGGTCTCGATCTCCTGACCTCGTGATCCGCCCGCCTCGGCCTCCCAAAGTGCTGGGATTACAGGCGTGAGCCACCGCGCCCGGCCCCACTTGTGTCTTATAGCCTTATGAGGTATGTGATTTATTTCATGGCTCTTAATATCTTTATCTCTTTTTTATACTTTTCAGTTTTTATGATAAAGACCCTGATTTCTTTAAACTCAAACCATAAAATTATGTATATGTATAGTGTTAGTTTCCCTGATTCTATGTTAAGTTAAATATTGACTTTGCAAGCTCTATATCATTTATTATTTACCATTCTCAATCTGTGGAATTTATTAAAAAATTGATAAGAATGCCTGATGGTGAAATCCCCACAGGTATCAAATTGGATGACCCAACCAAGCCATTTACAAAATTGACAAATCTGTGGTTACTTCGATAAAAGTGACACAATTTGCTTTTAACAGGGACTGATATTTTTTAAGGATGCTTTGAGACATTTTCTTTGAAGGAATAATGTTCTTCTATTTTAGAAAACTACCTTTTTTTTATTCTTTTCAGAAGATTGCCTTCTTGTGAGGCTTGTTAGCCTTTCTGTTCTTTCTTTTTCCAGAAGTTGATTTCTCATTCTTCGGCACTTTAGAAAATGTTGGGAGAGAATTTCAAGTATTTAAAAAAATATTTTTAGCAGATTTACCTTTTGTGTGAAGTGTCAGACAGTTCAAGGGGCACCCTGAGCTTTCTCACATCTTTTGTCAGTGGAATAGAATTTCATTCCTAAAGAACAATTGTTCACTTTACAAAAATAAGCTTCCTACATAGGTGCCCTTGCCGATAGCCTCCAGAGAAAGGATAAAAAATAAATGATCTTATAGACTGATTAATCTACTCTTTCACCCCACACAAAATCTAGGGCTCTTAGTAAGCTGTAATGAAGGGTCCTGGGAAAAATGCTTTGCCGTTTTCTAAACAGTTTTTAAACTTCTAACATACAACTGTTTTCTAATTTAGCTTCTCGTGAGCAGAGGTTAAGTAAGTAAAAAACAAAAAGTCAAGTGAAATAAAGTCATCTTGAGGGGAATGTGAAAAATATTTGTGACCATTCTTTCATAGCCATGAGGTTAAGAATATCAATAGTTTTGGTTAAAAAGAAGGGCTTTTGGGGGGAAAATAGCTATTTTTCATTCAACGCAGTTATCAAACAAAACCTCTCTTTCCCTCAGTCATTCAATCTATCTGTTCACACATATGTAGTAGCACAGTTTTGCAAGCCTGGCTCCATATTAGAACCACTTGAGGAACTTCTGAAACTTACCACAGCTGGGCGTCTGACAGCCTGGGGGTCCAGCAGCAGAGAATCTGCTTTCCTGGGAGCATCAGCGCATGCTGGTGCTTCCCCAGGTGACCCAGAGTTGAGAAACATTGAGTTAGACTGACACTTCTACTTTTAAGAGGATGCTTGAAAACATCTGAAAGGAACATTTTTTCAAGGAATTTTTCTTTCCAATGAGATTCAGACTTGTCTGGGGATGGTTGGCTGTGTGTTTCACTTGTATTTATCTTTCTAGTAATGCTCTATGATTTATTATTGTTCTTAGTATCATTATTAGAATTACAGCTTCTGAGAAATAGCTTTCAATTAATCAATACATTGATTGATATATGTAGAAAGCCTGAAGAAATACCCAACAAAAGAATTTAAAATATTTTGTGTCCTCAGGACACGTATCCATTTTATGAAGAAGACAGTGCAGGCTGAGGAATTACAGATGACAAGGAGAGAAGGACTGGGTTTGTGCTCTGCTGCATTTCTAATATTGAGGATTAGGGTGAGAGAAGTGTTTAGAAAAGATGGGCCAAGTCATAAATAGCTACAGGTCACACCTGTTAAGTGTTGTACTGTATCACTGAAGATACCATAGTCTTAAACTTTTGACTTTAGTCAGGGAAAACACTTCATATCCCATCCATTCCTGCTTTCCCATTCATCCAATACTCAACCATCACAAAGTTGGGATACCACAGCATGTATTGGATGTTGTGCCCCTTACAGTAGAAAAGAGTATTTGCAGTAAAATGTCACTGTACAAGAAGACTGGGAGGGAGGTGTGGTTATATCTGCACTAACGACAGAGATTAGTAACAACCTGTGGTTAATTTTTGAACACTAACGCCTACATGTCTCAACATTTTATTTTAACAGTGATTCAGAGCTCTGACTCTGGAATCAGACTCCCTGGCCTCTAGGATTTCCTATCTAGGTCTGCTGAGACTCATGATTTAATCCTAAAGCCTCAGTTATTCACAGCCCTACACTGGGGGTAGTGACAGTACCATTTTCAGATGGTTTTGTAAAATTACATTCTGGAATCCATATCAAGTGCTTAACAATGTACCTGGCACATGGTAAGTTCTCAAGAAAATGCTAGTTTATAGTTGTTATTGCCTTTTGCTGTTATTTATTTATTAAAACAAGTAATACATAGATGCCTCACTGTGTGGCATGAGGTAATGGAGCACCAAGCAGCAAAATAAACAGAGAATGGTGAAACTCAACTAATAGAATCAAAATTTAAGAAGTTACATTTGAAAATCACGCTGAACCTAAAACAATGCCAAAGGCGCATGAATGACCAAATGCGCTTCATGAAAATGGGAATGTTGTAGGAATTCTCATTAGCTACTGTGTAAAAATGCAGTATCAATTTTTCAATAATGACAAAGCATGGGAGCTAGTTAGACTATTCAAGAAAATTAAGTTAGAAATGCTAATTTTAGCTTTTGTAGGTTACAGTTAAGTAATTCATAGGAATTCAGGAAATAAGTACTTGTGAAGAACCCACAGATATTACATAATCAGAAGTCTATGAAGTTTTTGTAAAGAGTATTTTCTAGTTTATATCAAGATACTAGATCCCAGTAGAGGACATTTCAAGGTATCTTAAATGGAACATCTATTATTAAATCTATTACATGACTTCCTTTTTCTTTTTTTTTAACTTCTTTAGGGTCAAAAGTAAAACCAAGGAAAACAAATGTTTATTCAATCAGATTCATATCAAAAGCACCCTCAAAGCCTGTCTAAAAGCTAAGCTTTTTTTTCAACAATTTCAAAAGGTAAATGGAATATTCCAGATGTCCAGAGTGTCCGTGTATAAATGTTGAGCTGAGAATCTGCTCTACGAGTGCATACTGATGCACTTAGGGTGACTGGTCCAGACTATGAAGGAGACAGAGAAAGTCCATTATTGTTGATGAGAAGACAGTGAGCTTGATGGAGGATAAACAGAGATAGTGTCTGCAGCTTAAGTTCTTAGACTCCTGCAAAGTATGGGCCATGCCACTTGCTGGAAATGTAAAAAAATTAGAGTGGAGTAGGAGGTAGCAAAATCGGCTGGGACCAAGATGGAAACATCTGAATGTGCTGAAGGGGAATATTTGAGGTTGGGTGGAGAGGCTATTTGAACAGAGAACACGAAAGGTGAAAATGAGATAGCTATCTGATCATGTAGCGATTTTTACTCTGGTAGCAGGGACTATGCCAGAGCAAGTCCTGGGGTGAACATGTCAGTGTTTTGAGTTTGAGTCCTTTTCTATCTATACTGTCTACACTGTACGTTATCTACAATACTGAGAAACCTGGGCAACTCACATGGTGAGCATGCAACAAACAATTGGTAAATGGATGAATTAACCTTATGTTATATAGGTTAATAACAGGTTACAAATAATAAATGGAGGAGGAAGTTGTCAAAAAAAAAAAAAGGGAACAATCATGGAGAAAGAAAGATTGAAGCCAGCAAAATTCAATATGGTTGAATGGTGGTAGGAAAAGGACACTTTAAACAAGAAGAAATATATGTACAAAACATTTCCACAAGTATTTAGAAATAATAACCTTTATCCCATCCAGGAATCTGTATGCTCAGTTTCACCAGAGGACTTCCTTGATGGTGTGAGATAATTGTGCAGTGTATTTTATTAGAAGCAATGTTTTCTAAAGAGTTGCAAAGGAAATATTTATGATTTATCTGGATAGATCCTTACCAGCTAGAATTGGCTTTGGATGGAGGGAAAATGATATTAAAAAGTTTACAAATTTAGGCATAAGACATTTGACTCTAGCTTTGTAGTGAACAGATGAATAGAAACAGCATGGGGAGTAAACTTCATGAGCTTTCATTATGTTTGGCTACACTATTAATAAAGCTTTCTCCCTGGAAAATCCATTGTAGTGTCATATCTGTCAATACCCACCGTCCAATACTAATGCCATGGATAATCAAGCAGTGATCACAATTTCACTACTGCTTATAAAGAGCTTATGGCCTTTCATTTGGTAATGAGTTGCACACGTGGTCTGTGACTCTTAATATGCACCGTGTGTGTGTGTGTGTGTATCTTTTCCAGGAACCAGGATAAGAATTAAGAGATTCAGATCCTAAATGCCTGTGCTTTTCTCACTACTTAAAAATGCATCTTTAATATGAAGATGTAAGTGGGAAACTCTTAGAGGAAAAGTGAAAGTGGGCAGTATTTTACATCCCCAAGTAATTATTTAGTAGTTCCAAACACAGATGCTTAACGAGGGAGGTTAGTTTGATGTCTAGCACTTCTACACGACTCTATTTTTACTTCTCACTCTATAATAAAAAATGTTTTAGCTCATTTAAATCCATAAAATAGAAAATTCATTTCACCTGGTTTATTTCCTTCAATGGCAACATCTTTATTATAATATTCTTTTGTTGGAATCAAACTGAATTCTTAAGAGGGTCATTTAATTCTACACACTATTGTGATAATGGGGATAAAGTCTAAGAATACACAATCAAAACTTACAATAACATGATTAAAATCAAATAAGCTGTATTTTATTTGAAATTATATACTGTATAGGAGAATTCCAAGTTAAAAATAGGCAATGCTCCAACATTTTATCGAAAATAGAGTATTAGGATTTAGGATACAATTTTATCTACTAAAATATGTTACAAATAGTGTTCAGATTGCCACGCACATCTCCCAAATTAAAATTAAACTACAATATTATCAATATATGATTTTGTGGAGAAAGTACAACAAATACTGTTGTTACCCTAGAAACAGACATTTTTAAATAGAAATTAGCTTTTTATTCATTTTGATCTTGGGTGCTTTAGGCAAGAGAGGTTTAATTAGATAAACAAAAAATGTCTAAGTTTGTCGGTGTCAATTCTACAGAAAAATTGAGTGGGATCTTTTTTAAATGTCTACTATGTGTCAAAAGTACTGTGCTAGAAGATTTACATACGATACCTCAATTAGACCTCAGACTAACTTTAAGAGTTACACATTTTATCTCATTACAAAGATGAAGAAAATGAGGCATATTAAAGTTAAATAATTGCCTTAAGTCACATAGCTTATAGGTGGGACATATAGGATTTTAAATCAAGTCTGTCAAATGTTTAGCAGCTTAGGATTCTGGATATTTGCAATGACGAATTTCACTTCTGAATATAACTTTTCTTTTCCATGATAGTGGATCAGAAACACTGTGAGAAGAATACAGAGGCGACAATGCTACGCACTATCAAAGGAAGGTCTGTCCTTATCATTTTGATCATTTTTCACTATTGAGGTCTTACTACGTGCAAAACACTATACAATGCTCTTTACACTTAGCTTGTTTGATTCCCTAAACAATTCTATGAAGTGATCCAGTTATTATCCTTATTTTTCAGTGAAGAAGCTAAGACCCTCAGCACTTAGCTTCTTCAATACATCAACCATCACTTCAATAAGCAATTGTTATTCCTTTACCAAGACAGGCTGACTTCAGAATTCATTTCTCTCATCTACTGTTTTCAAATGCCACTCTACCAGCATCCATATGGATCCACAGTATACTTAAGTTCTGTTTCTTATATCCTTTATTAGTGTTTAAAGATTTTTTCACCCTAGAAGTTATGATGGACATTTTCAGTTTTGCTAAATCAGTAGGATTTTCTCCCTCCTGTTGTTACATCTCATTACCTGGAACTTCCTTTCTGGGGAGCAGGTGTGTTTATATTCCCAACCAGACTTTCACTGAAAGAGAGCCGGAACCATGGCTTGGCTTCAGACAGTATATATACAGGAAACTCCCAGTGGCTGCTTTGATTATATGGCTGGTATAAGACACATAGGACCTTCTAATGAGAATCAAAGTCATATTTTGGCTCAGAAGTTAGATAAAGAGAGGAAAAAAGACCAAGGAAAAAGAAGCCCTTTGAGGCAAACTTTGAATGTAAAGTTAAAAAGCAAACCTGAGTTCAAGTTCTGTTTCTATGGCATTGTCAAAGCTGGTATTTCGGAACTTTAGTTTTCTCGTTTGTTAAAAAAAAAAAAAAGTAATATAATACTGTATTCCATTGAGTCTAAGATGTGCTTTTTTCACATTTTAATATCTTTGAAATAAGAAGATGTCTTATAATCAGTGATAGGACATAGTTTAATTGAAAAAATATTTTATTTCTTAGTGGCACTTAAATAATGTGTTTTAGAATTAATGGTATCTTAGATTTGGTTAAATATAATATGTCTCTTACCAATTATTATATTCATTTAAAAAATTCTCTGCCATCTAATTCTCCTCAGATGCTTTAGTTCTAAGCCAATGATTGTACTCTCATTTTTCTTGACAAATACATGACTGGCTAACTTCAGGGAAAACTTTCTGCCCTAATAGGGAAGCCAGAAAGAAACAGCTTTCTAAACATTGTCATGTTTAAATGTGACTTTTATAACAGGAGGAGACATTTCCTTTCCAGCTTGATGTTTTAAAAAAAACTTAGCAAAGCACAAAAACACAAGAAATGCTAAAAAGAGGGATGAGCCATGAATCATGCCCAGAGTGCTATAATCCTTGTTATACATGACAATACATTTCCTTATTAATAGAATTTAGATCATGAATGATTTGTGTTGCATGTTTATGAAAGGGCTCAGTGTAACACTGTTGAAGATTAGCTAGGTACCAATAAGGTTTTGTTTGAGCTATTTTCTTTTCAACTATTTTTAGAAATAAATTGAAAAAAGGTAAATAGAAATTATGATTATATGTTTATGTTCATCATTTTGCATTTGAAACAAAGTTAGAAAATATGTGATATGGTCAAAGTTTAAAATAATTCTTATATAGGTTGATAGCAGGAGCTCTGGAGTCAGCCTGCCTGGGTTTGAAACTTGGCTTCAACTCTGCCAGCCTTAGTTTTGTTATAACGGAACGATACTGACACATTCCATGATGGTTCTTGTTAGAAGAAAGTGAGTTGATACATATAATACATGTAAACAAACTGCCTAGCTCATAAATGCTCATAAATGTTAACCATGATTATTATTCTTAACATTATAGCAATGAAATATTTTTTCTTATATATTATTTATAATTTAGTATTTGTCAGGAGGGCAATCTAATATATTGAAGAAGCAAAAAGTTTTACATCTAGTAGCATAAAAAATGTTGTTAGTGAATTCAAAGCAGATGTTGAGAGAACAGGAAAGGAGGGGACAAGGAGGTTATGGAATAAGATGAGTCACACTGGGAGTTTCATTAAATAAAGAAGAGAGTTTCAATGGGATTAAATTGTGTAGCTACCATCCCTTATGTTTTAGTCCTGGCTGCTCTCTCCATATGATAATGATATTACAAACATAAGCTATATGCAAATGAATTGAACACTGATGAAGAGCCAAACAGAACAGAATCTAGCTCATTTCATCTTGCCTGAAGACTCAGAGATAGGTTTAGGAAAGGTTTGTGCAGGAGACAAAGGATAAGGTTACAAGAGAATGGGCATGGCTTTTACACAATAGAAATTATACTGAGATGTCCTCTTCTGAAATTTGTTTGGTACTGCAGAAAGCTTCCCTTACCTCCAGATGTGGTTTTAGTGTAAGCAAACTGTTCATGGATACCTTCTTTAATACCTACTTTTTCAATTTGGGATGGTTGCTGTGTTGAAGGAAACCCCAGGAATGAGATTAGGTAAAAGCTATTCGTCTGGTGAGATGGATTTTGAAAATCAGATTGTCTTCCAGGCTGTGGCCCCTTATTATGTTGATTGCTCTGCCTGCCCCTTGCTTCCATCAAGAAGGACAAAACCTATTTTAAACAGTCTTATAGTTGAAAGTAGAGTTATAAAATTATTAAATGTATACTACTTTCTAATCATTCACTTGGGAAATCTCTAGTGGGGGTTAGTTGACCACTACAATTATGACTGTGATGAACAGATTTTAAATCATGTATAAAAGTCGTATCTCAACAGATATTTACTATTTTTATCTTGCCTTTTATGCTCTGTACATGGATCCTCCACCATAAAGGGCCATTTAATTCAACCAGAAAGTGGCACCAGTACAACATGACACTGTCTGGCTGAATTAGACTTAATCTAGAGGATAACAATAACATGTGATGAAGCATGAGTACTATTTCATAAGAAAAAAGTGAAGCAAGACTTGTGAACATCAAGGCTAAATAATATAATTTGGGGTCACAACAGAGCCGCTCAAATATTTGAAATGATACCATTCTGAAGTGTTCAACATATATTATATTGCTACAAAACTTATAAGTAGGATTAATTACAAGTCAAAGAGACATATTTCACTTCAACATCATTTAAAAATTACACAAAAATCCCAACTTTCTCATGAGCTCTTTAATAAGGTGCCAAGCATCTTCCTCATCAATGAATTTATCCAAACAGAAGCTAGATGCCATCTGCCAGGATAGCTGTAGAAGGCATTTCTGCATTAGTGCAGGAAGTTGGAAGACAGAACATTGTGTATCCTTTCCAACTCTAAGTAAACAACCCACATTTACTGAGTGTCTATAATTTGCAAGACATTAAGCTAGGTTTGGAGATTCAGAGAAAAAGGACACAAGCCTGCAAAGAGCCTCAGTCTAGATGTTAGGCCGCGTCATTCATCAAAATTCAGAAATGACAGAGTGATAGCGTGGATTGTAGTGGAAGCACAGAGGTGAACCAAAAACTTTGGAGGTAAGGGAGGAAATGATGCGGTAAATCCTGAAGGATGTACAGAAAATAGTGAGAGAAAAAAACAGAGAGATTCTGTAATTCAGTTCAGCATATAAATGTAAAGTATCATTTTGTTCACTTGGTATAAGAGCAAGAGAAAGACTTAAGAACATGCATTGTCTATAACACAGTTGCCTGTAATTCTATGTATTAATATTTAGTTACCCTAAACTAAATTCAAGTACCATTAAAAAACATAATTAGTAAAAATACAAATGTCAGCAGCTTTTCAGTCTGTAAACCATAGCGGGAAATATGTAAATAAAATCCTGCTAAATAATTGCTTTTCTTAGAGCACTGAAATTTAGAAACCACTATTTTAAGTAACCTTGTTTATCTTATCCAATTAAACAAATCCTAAGTAGTTGTTAACAACTCTCTGCACATCTCAGTTGCCATAAAAAAAAAATCTTTATGAAATTCCTTAGGAATGTGGGAGGAATAGCATGAGATTCATTTATGACAGGCATAGCAAATATGATAAGTTCCAATGGATTTATTTTAAAGAGTGAGCGAATTTGAGAAGTCTGGCTTAAAAAGTTATTAGTAATATAGCAGACTCCCTATTTCAAATATTGTTTTATTATACAATGTATTTTGATTTGAAGTTAAAAAATATCGTTCGTGGCTGCAAGTGGTGGGTCATGCCTCTAATCTCAGTGCTTTGGGAGGCTGAGGCAGGAGGAGAGCTTGAGGCCAGAAGTTTGAGACCATTCTGGGCAACATAATGAGTCCCGTCTCTACAAAAATAAAAATAAAAATAAAAAATATTAGATGAGCCTAGTGCACCTGTAGTCCTAGTTACTCGGGAGGGTGAGGCAGGAGGATCACTTAAGCCCAAGAGTTCAAGGTTATAATGAACTATGATCGCACCAATGTACTATTAGTCTGGACATAAGAGCAAGACCCGGTCTCAAAAAATATAAAAATTGAAAAACAATATGGTTAAAGCTGTACCTCAATGATTCCTACCTCCTAAAATGTATAGACTTATGTAGTGTCCTCCCACAGTGAATAAGGTTGACTAGTGTAGCAATTAGGATATTGTGGTAGTGACAGTATGTGGCATCTGTGGCTGGTCCCAAAAGATATTGTGACTCCTGCCTTTCTCTTTTGCATTTCTTGCTCTGGGGAAAGCCATCTGTCATGTCATGAGGGTACTCAAGCAGTCCTATGGAGAGAAGAGACTCACACAGCAAGGAACTGAGGCCCCCTGCTAACAGCCATGTAAGTAATCCGTACTGGAAGTAACTCCTTCAGCCACATCAAGCCTTCAAGTGGCTGCAGTTCCTGGTTATATCTTCACTGCAACAACATGGAAAATCTTGAGCTATTATAGAACAGAGCAGGTAAGCTGCTCCCAAGTTCCTAAGTCCATACCACACACAAAAAAGTAAAATAATAATTGCTTATTGTTTTTACTGTATTGTCTTTATTGACATATATATAAAGTTTGCCAGTTTAAAGTGTCCAATTCATTGTTTCCAAATATATTTACGGAGTTGTGCAACTATCACCAAGATCTAATTTTAGAACATTTTCATTATCTTAAAACTAAGTCTGTACTTAACAGCAGCCACTCCCCACTCTCTTGCCTCCCACCTGGTACTTCCTACCCTTCAGGCCTAGGCAACCATTGATCTTCCTCTGTCTGTATACATTTTCTTACAGTGCATATTACATACAAATGGAATAATACAATATGTGGTCTTTGCGACTAATTTCACTTAATAATATTTTTAAGATTCACCCATGTTGTAGCATGTATTACTATTTCATTTATTTTTTATTACCATGTAATAATTTACCATATAATAGAACACATTTTATTTATCTACCCGTCAGTTGATAGGTATTGGAGCTGTTTCCACTTTTGGCTATTGTGAATAATGCTGCTTTGAATATTCATTTATAAGTTTTTGTGTGGACATATGCTTTCATTTCTCTTGGGTATATGCCTAGGAATGGAATTGCTGGATCATATGGTAACTCTATGTTTAACTTTTTGAGGAACTGCCAGATTGTCTTCCAAAGAGGCTGCACCAGCTTACATTCCCACCAGCAGTGTATGATGGTTCCAACTTTTCCACATCCTTGCCAAAACTTGTTATTATCTGCCTTTTGAAATTTGCCACCCTAGTGAGCGTGAAGAGGTATCTCATTGTGGTTTTCACTTTTATTTCTTTAATGACTAATGATGTTGGGCATCTTTCTGTGGCTATTAGTCACTCCTATACTTTCTTTGGGCACATGACTATTCAAATCTTTTGCCCATTTTTAAAATTGGTTCATTTATCATTTATTATTGAGTTGTTTATTATTTTAAGCTGATATTTTTTCATGTAATTTGATATAGGGTAACAGATAACTAACACAAGCAGTACTTTTACATTTCTTGGAGGAAAATGAGATGATGGTACTTTTTAATTGATCAGAAGGAGAATTTGCTAATGTTTTCTTGGAGATATAAAATGGTATTTTTACTATAGTGATTGATAGCTATAGATAGAGCATATAGTTGAAGTACATAAAATAAATTTAATCAGAGTAAGAAATGAAACATAATTCAAATTTGTGCACTCACTTATTATAAAAATTAATGAAAGAGCCAAATAAATTTCTTGAGTATCATTATTAATCAAAACAATTTTCCTTAACAATACAGAAAAGAAGTGAAAATGTCTGACAAATTTCTTTTAAATTCTCTA
Source organism: Homo sapiens (assembly GCF_000001405.40). Classification (NCBI taxonomy): domain Eukaryota; kingdom Metazoa; phylum Chordata; class Mammalia; order Primates; family Hominidae; genus Homo; species Homo sapiens. The sequence goes on along the minus strand of NC_000005.10, from coordinate 165,324,820 downwards.
CTTCTAGACATTCCTTTGCATATATAAAATAAAGGACACTTAGCACAAAACAGAAATGCATTTCATCATCTTTTTAAAAACGTGAAACAAAACCATATTTTTATTAAAAAGTTATAATTCAAAAGAAGACAATTTTGAATTGCACAAATTATTTGGTGACTGGGCATACATTGTGTTCAGTGGGAACCAGATTATATTAAGCATTTTGTAAACATTTATTGAAATTATACAGAAAATTTAGTATAATTTTTACAAAGTTATTACTATAGTTTTTTTTAACCTTTGGCTATTTAATTGACTTAGTCCCTACAATGGGATATAAATATAAATTACAAAAAAGATAGGTGGCCTGAAAGAGGAATGTGAAGTAAGTAAATATGTTTTAAAGCAACAGTAGAAAATATTTATGCAGTTCAGTGGAATGTTTCACTTCTCTTTCTCAACTATAGAAGAAATATCCTAAAATCCTGCTATCATAGCAAAGAGATTTTAAACTATCCCAACTATATTTTCTCCAACTATCTTACTTTTAATGTAATTTAGTTCTGCTTTTCTACACCCATGATAAAAAAAAAATTCATTCTATTTACTTGGATGCTATCATTGTTACATAGTACTTGTATTCTTTTATCTCCAAATGTCTGTTATAAATATTAGATTAAAATCAGCAAATATACACTACATGCTTTCAATCTAAAATTACCATTTTATTACAATATTTAGAGAAAATGGAAGCAATTATTGTGTTTATTTTAAATATTAAGTTCGTAAAAGTATACTTAATTTTTTTTTTTTTTAAGACGGAGTCGCTCTGTTGCCCAGGCTGGAGTGCAGTGGCGCGATCTCAGCTCACTGCAAGCTCTGCCTCCCGGGTTCACGCCATTCTCCTGCCTCAATCTCCCAGTAGCTGGGACTACAGGCGACCGCTACCCCGTCCGGCTAATTTTTTGTATTTTTTTGTAGAGACGGTGTTTCACCATGTTAGCCAGGATGGTCTTGACCTCCTGACCCCTCGTGATCCGCCCGCCTCGGCCTCCCAAAGTGCTGGGATTACAGGCGTGAGCCACGGCACCTGACCGCTTAATTTATTTTTATAAAATTTGGATGAACACAAAGAATTAATTTCCAGAGACTGGTGATATTATAAGTGCCCTCTAATAACTCTAAAAATATCAAAAGCTGCTCCATATAAAAATACAATAGTACCTTGTGATAAAGTATGACAATCATTATTTTGTGAAAGAATAAATGTAAGCAATACAATATAAGCTCTTTAATATTAAGTATATGAATTCAAAAGCAGTTCTATAAGTGAAAAATGAAACTGTGAGTTTATGAAGTTTACTGCTCTGTTTTCAAGGTTTATATGACATTTATCGCTTGTAAATAATTTATTGTAGAATTATGGTAGAATTTTTAAATATTTTATGGAGATATGAGAATATCATTGTCAGATTATGCCACACCTGATTACATGTTTTTCAAATGTTTCCTTTTAAAGCATTTTGAAAGTGCCCAAAACATAAAATTAACTTACATATTTGAAGTATGACGGAGGAATCACCATTATATTTTGACTCATGCTAAATGGAATGATTGACATATTTCCTATATTCCTTCATTAAAGGCCAATTTTTATTGAGTGTTGTGAAAATCTAATAATTATGATTGTGTATGGCCAATCTTACAAACTTCAAAAAAAAAATTTTGGATTCTGTTTGTAATTCTACAGACTGTTTTCTTTTCTTTCTTTTTTTTTTTTTTTTTTTTTGTTTGTTTGGTTTTTTTAAGCCTGGCTGGAAGTGCAGTGGCTGCAATCTTCACACAATGCAACCTCCGCCACCCAGGTTCAAGTGATTCTCCCGCCTCAGCCTCCTGAGTAGCTGGTTACAGGCACGCGCCACCACACTAGGCTAGTTTCCGTATTTTCAGTAGAGATGGAGTTTCACCATGTTGGCTAGGCTGGTCTCAAACTCCTGACCTCCAGCGATCCACCCACCTAGGCCTCCCAAAGTGCCGGGATTACAGGCTTGAGCCACTGTGCCCAACCTACAGATTATTTCTAATCATAAAGATCTCTAGCAATAATTAGATAAAACAGTGGAATTTTAGAGAATGATTTTTTTTTCACTAAAGAAACTAGATTAACATTCCCTCACTCCTGCCATCCTTCATATAGTATCTTTTTCTTTGCATAACAACAATCTATTAATCAATACTCAAAATTAAAACTTCTTACCATTGTCTAAAAGACTGCTAACTCTGGCACTGGGACCCTTTCTCAATGAACCTAAAGTTTCTCTGCATCCTCTGTCATTTGGCTGTAGTCACACTAGCCTTCTATCAGTTTTTAAAATATTCTAAATTTTCCCCAATCTGAGGACATTTGCGCTCTGTTTCTTCTGTAGGAAAGACTTTTCTACATTTGAGTCCTCCCCAGTATTCACATTTCAGCTTGTCTAAAATATTATTCTGACAGACATGCCTCCTCTCCCTACTTTAAATAAATGATTTCCCTCCATTCTCAATCACAGTACCCTATTTATTTCCTTCATAGCAGTTATCAGAACTTGCAATGATTATTTTTTATGTTTTTATTTTGTGACTCCCCAACTAGAACATGAGCTGCTACATGCGGGAAGGGCTTTGCCAATCCTCTTAGTACGGTCACGTGTGTAATGGTAAATATTTGTTAAATGAATAAAGCAACATGAACGAATTATCTAGTTATAACTAAGCTTCCCTGGACTGATATGATCTCTATACCACATGAGTCATATCCTCAAGTCCTTTCCAGTTTTAAGGCCAATTATGTGATACATGTTTTCCAAATTGAGTAGAATAATATTTCAGAATGGAGCTCTTCACCAAATTCAATTAATGTAATAAAGGTAAAATTCAAAAGAAATCTCTAAAGCCTTCACTTCAGCAATCTTTTTTTCTTATAAATTGAATCTGTATTTTAAATATTTTACTCATGTCAAATGCAACATATGGATTTTAATCAAAATGGTAAGATAAATTCTACTAGAAGTTACCTCATGACATTCTTTTTGGTAAGAGTTGTAAAGAGGGAAGAAAAAGGTCATTTTATTTTTAAGTAATTAAAAATGGATCTAATGATTCCTTTTAATATTCTCATTGTACAGAGAAGGTAGTTTAATTTTAGCTAAAAACTGAGGCTAATAAATTAGGAATCATCTTTTTTTTTCAAGTGTTAGCAGTGACATGAATTTGAGTAAGCTGGAATTAATTATTAACTTTGTTCAACTAGGTAGCAAAAGTGGATTTAAAAGTTGAGGAGGTAAAGAGCTCTTCATAAAAAGGCAAGATACGTATATACATATATCCATCAAGGTATGCATTACAAATATGTTTTAAGACATCTAAATATAAAATCCAGATGTTAAAATATCCTAACTGGAAAGTTAATCCCTAAGAATGTATATGCAAGAGATATAAAGATACAATAATAGGATATAAGATACAAATTTGTCCATTTTGGTTTTTAAATTAATAGACTAATTATTGCAATCATAAGCCTGACAGCAGACTGTCATAATATATCTGTTGGGGAAACTCTCAGCCCACTGAGATGATTGCATTAGTTTTTGTCAGGACAAATAAAAAGAAAACTTCCTTTTGAATATATACAGTACATTGTGGAGGCTGCTACAAAAAGGAGAGAGAGAGAAGAAAAAAATCAGGGTGAATATATCTTATTTATTATAGGCCTATTACTTAACTGATGATTTTGTATACCCTAAGAACTTTCTTTACAAATTTAGTTCATTCTTTCATACTGGAAAAAACTAAGTCCTCTACTTATTTTTCCTGGCTTCTAAAGAGATCTTTATTAAGAACAGTGTCTTATATATGTTTTCCTTTATGCTGAGGTTCGTACAGAAGGATAATGAAATAGATGTTTTTGGTTACCTCTCCACACAGTAGGGTAAGTAGTTTTAGGAAAAAATAAACAGGTTCACTGATCTGCTTTATACATGCAAAAAATGATTTAGTATCCCTGGGCCCTAAGCACTTTTCTTTTCAATTAAGAAAATAAAATATTCAAGGGAAACACATCACTCATCCTCTCTCTCTTCATACAACTCCCTCTAATTCTTTTTTTTTAATCCTTATACCTGTTCCCCTCCTAGCACTGATTGTAGGATGTGGCCCACTGGAGAGTAAAATTAAAACAAAAAAGCAAAGTAGAAAGTCATAAAAAAGTATTTAATGGTTTTTCCCTTAAAAGAAGATGCATGGTTAATTGTTAAAAACAACAACAACAACAACAAAAAACAAACAAGAAAACCAAACCTTTTCCAGGCTCTTAAAATTTACAATTGTTGCATGATTTTAAGCCCCAATCAATGAGAAGGCTTAATAGATATTTGTGACTTCAATGATATGAGATGCCCCCATATTCTTTCTATGTTTATTAAGAAAAATATAGGAGCATTTGATTAACATATTGAATGATCTTCTTTTTTTATAGGTGATATAGTTTGACTGTGTCCCCACCCAAATCTCATCTTGAACTGTAGCTCCCATAATCCTGACACAGCATAGGAGGGACCTGGTTGGGAGGTAATTGAGTCATGGGAATGGGTTTTTCCCATGTTGTTCTCACTATAGTGAATAAGTCTCAAGAGAACTGATGGTGTCATAAAAGGGCAGTTTCCCTGCACATGCTCTGTTGCCTGCTGCCATTTAAGATGTGCCTTTGCTCCTCCTTCACCTTCAGCCATGATTGTGAGGCCTCCCCAGCCATATGGAACTGCAAGTTCATTAAACTTCCTTTCCTTTATAAATTTCAGTCTCAGATATTTCTTCACAGCAGCATGAAAATGGATTAATACAGTAAATTGTTACCAGTAGAGCAGGGTATTGCTGTAAGGATACCGAAAATGTGGAAGTGACTTTGGAACTGGGCAATAGGCAGAGGTTGAAAGCGTTTGGAGGGCTCAGAAGAAGACAGGAAAATGTGGGAAAGTTTGGAACTTCCTAGAGACTTGTTGAATGGCTTTGACCAAAAAGCTGATAGTGATATGGGCAATAAAGTTCAGGCTGAGGTGGTCTCAGATGGAGATGAATAAACTGTTGGAAACTGGAGTTAAAGGTCACTCTCTACACAAAGAGACTGGTGGCATTTACCCCTGCCCTAGAGATCTGTGGAACCTTGAATTTTAGAGAGATGATTTAGGGTATCTGGCAGAAGAAATTTCTGAGTGGCAAAGCGTTCAAGAGGAAGCAGACCATAAATGTTCAGAAAATTTACAGCCTGACAATATGATAGAAAAGAAAAACCCATTTTCTGAGGAGAAATTCAAGCTGGCTGCAGAAATTTGCATAAGTAATGAGGAACCAAATGTTAATCGCCAAGACAACGGGGAAAATGTCTTCAGGGCACGTCAGAGTCTTCAAAGCAGCCCCTCCCATCACAAGCCCAGAGGCATAGGAGGAAAAAATGGTTTCATGGGCTGGGTCCAGGGCCTTGCTTCTTTGTGCAGTCTCGGGAGTGGTGCCTTGCATTCCAGCCATGGCTGAAAGGGGCCAATGTACAGCCCAGGTGATTGCTTCAGAGGGTGCAAGTCCCAAGTCTTGGCAGCTTACATGTACTGGGCCAACCCATGCATAGAAGTCAAGAACTGAGGTTTGGGAACCTCCACCTAGATTTAAGAGGATGTGTGGAAACACCTGGATGTCCAGGCAGAGGTTTGCTGCAGGGGCAGAGCCCTCATGGAGAATCTCTGCCAGGGCGGTGTGGAAGGGAAATGTGTGGTGGGAACCCTACACAGAGTGCCACTGGGGTACTGCCTAGTGCAGCTGTGAGAAGAGGGCTACCATCCTCCAGCACCCAGATTGGTAGATCAACCAACAGCTTACACTGTGTGCCTAGAAAAGCTGCAGACACTCAACACCAGCCCATGAAAGCAGCTGGGGGGGAGGCTGTCCCCTGCAAAGCCACACGGGTGGAGCTGCCCAAGACCATGGGAACCCACCTCTTGCATCAGCGTGACCTGGATGTGAGTCTTGGAGTCAAAGGAGAACATTTTGGAGCTTTAAGATTTGACTGCCCCACTAAATTTTGGGTTTGCATAGGTCCTTGTCCCCCTCATTTTGGCCAATTTCTCCCATTTGGAACACGTGTATTTACCTAATGCCTGTACCCCCATTATATCTAAGAACTAACTAACTTGCTTTTTATTTTACAGGCTCTTAGACAGAAGGGACTTGCCTTGTATCAGATGAAACTTTGGTATGTGGACTTTTGAGTTAATGCTGAAATGAGTTAAGATTTTGGGGGACTGTTGGGAAGGCATGATTGGTTTTGAAATGTGAAGATATGAGATTTAGGAGGTGCCGGGGCAGAATGATATGATTTGGCTGTGTCCTTGCCCAAATCTCATCTTGAATTGTGGTTCCCATAATCCCCACGTGATGTGGGAGGGAACAAGTGGGAGGTAACTAAATCATGGGGATGGGTTTTTCCTGTGCTGTTCTCATGATAGTGAAGAAGCCTCACAAGAACTGATGGCTTTATAAAAGGTGGTTCCCCTCACATGCTCTGTTGCCAAACGCCATGTGAAGAAGTATATGTTTGCTTCCCCTTCTACCATGATTGTAAGTTTCCCGAGGCCTCCCCAGCCATGCTGAACTGTAAGTCAATTAAACTACCCAGTCTTGGGTATGTCTCTATTAGCAGTGTGTGAACGGAATAATACAAAAGGCTTACTCTATGCTTTTCATTTTATTCAGTCTTTCAGCTTTGTTTGATTACACATAGAGCACCAAGTTTCCTATTTTTAATAAGGAAGAAAAAACCTTATCAATAAAATTGCAGTTTTGATGAATTTTATAGAATGAGTAATGCCCACCAAAAATGGGGCATAGAAAATAAGACTTCAAAAACATTCTCACATTATAGCAATGAAAAGTATATTGACTAATAGAGAAAAAAACACATGCATAGGGAAAAATCACCTAGATCTAAAATGGCAATGCCACGTCCCGAAGATCTGGGAATGAGTATGAGTTTGCAAAAAACATCATTGAAGTTAAAGGCTAAACAGAAAGTCTAGTCAGAAGGTTTGGGCATTTGATTATAACATGTCAGGGAAAAGTGAAGTTCAATGTATCTATCCTCTTTTTACTGGTTCCTGAAATGGAAGCAGGTCGAGAAGAGCAGATCAACAATGCGAACAAACACTTGCAGGACATGCAAATGAGGGAGGGCAAATAATGTAAGAGATATTTTCCTGCCAAAGGAAAATAAGAGTACAAATGCAATCGAAATATGATTACAACAATCCCCTCTTACCCTTGCAGGGCTCGTCCCAAGATCACCAGTGGGTGCCTGAAACCGTGGATAGTACCCAAATCCTATATAAACTATTTTTTATTCCTATGCATACATACCTATGATTAAGTTTAGTTTATTAGGTAGGCACAGAGATTAGTGACAATAACTAAAAAGAGAGAAGAAGAATTGTAACAATATACTGTAATAAAAGTTATGTGAATGTAGTCTCTTTCTCTCCCTCTAATATTTTATTGTACTATACTCACCCTTCTTGTGATGATGTGAAGAGATAAAATGCTTACATAATAAGATGAAGTGAGGTGAATGATGTAAGCATTGTGACATAAATGGAAAATTCCAGAAATATACATACAATTCATCAGTTTTAAATTGAGCACCATTTGGAGAAGGGTGACGAAAGCTCACACCATGGGCTCCATCCTGGCAGGGACATACTTGAATCCTGTCTTTGTCCACCAGCTCCACCCTGTGCATTCTCCCTGTCCATTCGTCACTGAGTAGCCATCTCAGTTAGACTGACTGTTGAGTTATCACTAGTGCTTGTATTCAAGGAACACTTAGGTAACTCAGTGCTAGAGTCCTCGTTTATGCTCCTTTTCTGAAAGGTGGGGCCACTGGTGCCAAATCTTTGGATTTCTCAGAGGTCAGAAATCTAGAGTTTTATGTGAAAAATGTCTGATCCGGTGGCTCACACCTGTAATCCCATCACTCTGGGAGGCGGATGTGGGCAGATCACGAGGTCAGGAGATCAAGACCATCCTGGCTAACACGGTGAAACCCCATCTCTACTAAAAATCCAAAAAAATTAGCCAAGTGTGGTAGCACACACCTATAACCCCAGCTACCTGGAAGGCTGAGGTGGGAGAATCCATTGAACCCGAGAGGCAGAAGTTGTAGTAAGCCGAGATCGCACCACTGCACTCCAGCCTGGGTGACAGAGTGGGACTCTGTCTCAAAAAAAAAAAAAAAAAGAAAGAAAGAAAGAAAGAAAAATGTCTGATCATGATCTAAATGTTTCTTTGCCTAATTAAAAGAAAAATATTGTGTTGGCAAAACGAAATATGTCTGCTGGCTGGGCGTGGTGGCTCACGCCCGTAATCCCAGCACTTTGGGAGACTGAGGTGGGCCTCAGGTCAGGAGTTCGAGACCAGCCTGGCCAACGTGGTGAAACCCCCGTCTCTACTAAAAATACAAAAATTAGCCGGGCATGGTGGCAGGTACCTGTAATCACAGCTACTTGGGAGGCTGAGGCAGGAGAATCATTTGAACCTGGAGGCGAAGTTTGCAGTGAGCGGAAATTGCGCCATTGCACTCCAGACTGGATGCCAAGAGTGAAGCTCCAACTCAAAAAAAAAGAGGAATGTCATATATATACATATATGTGTATATATATAGTATATGTATATGTATGTGTATATATGTATCTGTGTATATGTGTATATATATATACACACATACTATTTGATTAAACATATTATATAATAGTATAACACTAAGAAATATTTAAATACCTGTTACTTTCACTGAAATGTATGCTACAAAACTCTCTCATATCAATAAAATTAAAATTCTAACTTTCAATGTCTATTATAATCTGTTTATAGACTACTCAGTCTCTAAATGACATAGGCACTGATTCTCATTTTTTATTACTGAAAGATATTGTGAATGAAAAGCCTTTAATAAAGGTATTTTATAATCCCCCATTTATTATTTATTATGATGGTGATTATCAATTAGTTTTTTTTTATATATTTGATGTTTGAAAACTGTCATTGTTTCCACATTCAAGCACTGAATGCATTTAAAGTGTGCATTTCTTTATGTATTATTAAATGTTAGCACCATTTTCTATGTTCATTGTAATTTATAAAGTTGTATTATTGGGTATTTTTAAATATTTTTATTTTTATTTTTTTAAAGCAGCTGCACTGAGAATGTTCCTCGTGTGGCTGGTGCACACGGAGACACTCTCACTGCCAGCAAAGCAGGGAGAGCTGACAAACAACCACATAGATATTTTTTAAATGGTTCATGAGAACTTTTATCTATTAAGGTTAGTACCTGCTATAGTTTGGATATTTGACCCTCCAATTCTCAGGATGAAATTTGATCTCCAGTGTTACAGGTGGGGCATCTTGGAAGGTATTTGGGTCATGGGGTGGATCCTTCATGAAAGACTTGGTGCCTTCCTTGAGGTAATAAGTGAGTTCTTCTGTTATTCCCTGGGAGATGTGCCCCGAGAGCTGGTTGTTAAAACGGGCCTGGCACTTCTCTCCACTCTCTCTTTCCTCCTGTCTCTTCCTTCTTCTCTCTTTCTGCCTCTCTCTTCAAGTGAGTCTGGCTACCCTTTGCCTTCCACCATGATCGGAAGCTTCCTGAGGCCCTCACCAGAAGCAGATGCCTGCGCCATGCTTTGGTACAACCTGAAGAACTGTGAGACAAATACACCTCTTTTCCTTATAAATGACCCAGCCTCAGGTATTCCTATATAGCAGGCTGAGACTTTGCTATACATTTGCAAATATGTTCTCCATGATTTTATGTCTTAAATCTTTTTGTAATCATGCCTTTCTGTATAAATACATTTCAAATTTTGATGGAATAAAATGTGTTAAAATGTTTTTGTGTTTTCTAGATTTGATAGAACACTAAAAAACAAACAAAAACAAAAAAACTTTTCCAGAAGCCAAGGCTATATTTCCAAAATATTAAATTATTTTTTAAAAAGGTTGTTTAGGCCCAGCACGGTGGCCCACACCTGTAATCCCAGCACTTTGGAAGGCTGAGGCGTGTAGATCCCTTGAGGTCAGGAGTTAAAACCAACCTGGCCAACATGGTGAAACCCTGTCTCTACTAAAAATACAAAAATTAGCCAGGCGTGGTGAGGCAGGAGAATCACTTGAATCTGGGAGGCAGAAACTGCAGTGAGCCGAGATGGCGCCATTGCACTCCAGCCTGGGCGACAGAGCCAGACTCTGTCTCAGGAAAAAAAAAAAAAAAAAGAAGTTGGTTAAACATTTAGCCATGCCATAATTTATATAGCTATGTGCAGATGTACAATAAAAATAACTCAAAATTTTTCATTATATGAGGACATTCTATGTGAAGGCATATAATTTACAAGAATCAAAATGTTACTGCAAAGTACAAAATTTAGAAATGAGTTTCCACAGCTTGTTGTAAGCTGTGGGTAAAGAACTGCCTATTTCGTTTTCTCCAATATTTAGATTAGAAGCACTTTTAGTCTGTGTCAAGTATTACATAATATAAAAGCATTTGTTTACTTTTTACTATCTTTTACAACATTTTTTAGTCTACTGAAATTGTGGATCTAACAAACAAAAATGAATAAATATATGTATATGTTTTTCTTTTTCACGGTATGATATAAAACATTTAAAAGTTGCACAAACATCATACATATTTTAACACTTGAGGAAATTACCACATGCATTATCAGAATTCTCAATTGATTAGGAGACAGAATAATCAAAGTTATATTTTTGGGATAAACATCATGGCCCAAAATATTAAAATTAATGTAAAAACTTTAAAAAATCATATATAATTTGAACGTGTCTTTCCTCAAGAAAAGTTATCACTCTGGGTTCAGAGAGGGGACAAGAAGATGAAAATCATATATTTGTTTTCTTTTTCATCTAATACCACTAGGAGTCCACTGAAAATGTTACTATGTTAAACTATTAATCAAAAGTTTAGGAAGATGTCATTAATTTTACATTTCTACCTGAATCACATTGAAGGCATTCAACATACAAACACTTGTATAGTTTTTTCTAATTAATATTTATGTTATTTTTTTCCCTGATTAAAGAATCCTGGCAATCATCTAACTTTTAAATATCCTTTTTTGTTAAAATATTATGCTCTTGTTCTCAAATTATCGGTAGAATTTAGATCAATTTTAACAACAAGTTTTTCTTTCTATTCCTCTTTGCTTATAGCACTTAACTTTCTTTCTCTGACCCCTCCTGTGCATTTAAAAAAATGAAAACCCATACTCCCAAACTGAAATATTTGTTCTCTTTAGTAAGATTCTTTCTGGCTTCAGGGAGAATAAATTTACAGAGACATTCTGGGACTTTGGGACTCCAACGATTCAAATTTTTACCTTGAGTATCTATTCTTGACTTTTCCTTCTTTTTGAATAAACATCCCCTAAAGAGAATACTGGCTTTGTGACTTACTTTATTGAATAAATTATGCAGTGCTTCTATCTGCAACTCATGAGTGATGCGAAATAAAGCAGACATAGCTGTTGGACATCGTTTTAGCCCCTCTATCTGATTGGCAGATCACAGGAAGGAAAAAATGTCCCATGAGCCCCTCTGTGAGGTCGTTACCAACTGATTGAGTATTCGCCTTAAATATCTGAAACCCAGGTGTGTTGTAGATTAGCACAACTTACAAGCACTGTGTGGAGATTTATTATGATAATTGTTGCTTTTATTTTTTATTTCCCTGAACTCAAAGATAATTAATGTCAGGATGTGTCCTGGTATCTGACTCTCTTAATTGGTCCTATGGTGGCTCGGGTGTTTTAAAATCCACTCACTTAAAGGCTTTTTTTTTTTCTTTTGACTTGTTTTCCTGGAGCTGTTCATTAGTGCCTAAAATATTTGATTACATTTAATTGTGATGTCTTCAATTTTGTGCACCTGCTGCAATTTACATGATGGGAAAAAGGCTTGCAGAAGCAGGGAAAAAAAATGAGAGGGGGAATTAAATTTTAAAAGAATTCCCCTGCACAGGGTAATTGGGGTTAAATACGGAAACAAAATAAACTTAATAGGTAGTCAGATTTTTGTAACTACTATGGTTATACTAAAAAGATTCTAAATCAAACATTCTCTATCATACAAACCCTTAACATATATTTTCACATTTTTCTTCAAGGGTTTTGGCTTCTGAGGGACATCCATATTTACTTTAAATTTAGTATCTTGTATGAAAGAGCTCACTTGGAGAAGAAGAAAATACTGAGTCAGAAACCCAGTTGGAGCTGTTTTCTGTTTCTTATGCATTTTTTAATGAAACATAACATGGCTTTTTATTTCAACAAATATTGAAGCATTTTATCACCAATTTCATAAGTAGTTTTATTTTTATTTTTTTGTTTTATGTTTTTATTTTATTGTTTTATGACTGTTGAAATAGCCAAGTTCCCCGATCGAGTATGAGGTTCGTTTGCAAAATATGACTTAAAGTAACATATAAGAAACAGATTATATCCACAAAGTATTGCAGGTTTAAAGAATGATATTGACCTGAATATCAATTTCACTGACCATACTACAATTCAACAGAGTCAGAGGAAACACAGGGTATCTGCTGCATTTTCAGTAGAAGAAATAAATTACCTTTCTATTTCTTCTGTAAAGCCATCAGTTTTTTGTTTTTTTCCATTTAGTTTTAAGCAACAGTGAAATCTCTAAATCTGCTTCAAACCCATGCTGTTAAGAGAAGTAATTAAACCAGTCCTATGGTCATTATGGTAGTAATACAATGAGATCTCTATGTTAAAATATGTCAACACAATGCATTGCTTTACCATAGGCATTTTTATTCATTAAACATTCTAAGGATCAAGAAAGCAGAAAGGTACTGGTAATCCTTTATGGAAACTCATCTGTCAAGGGGCCAACTCAAGTTTTATCTCCTCCAGGAAGTCTCTCTGATCCTTCCATACCAACTTCAAATGTCCGTCTTTGAAATTTTACTGCATTGGTGGACTAGACTATAAAATACACTACACAGGTCTATCCTTTTCTGTAAAACTTATTTCTACATGTTTTATTCATGTCATCATTGTTGCCCTGAAAAATCTTCTGAATTTCTTAAGCATGGGGGTGATGAGTAAAATTAATGCATGTGCAATATTTGTCATTTTCAAAGTACTTTCACAGCCATTATCTTATTGATTTTGAGAATAACCTTGTGCTGCAGACTATAATTTTCACAAATGTGGAACACAAGTTTCTTTTTCTCAACCTTGTATCCCTGGGGTTTCTATTATCTTCTGTATAACAGGCATGCAAGAGATATGAAATGAATGAATGAATGAATGAAGCAGTATCTCCACTCTTCTTTCAAAAAATAAAAAAGGAAATTTGAGCACAAAGGAACTTAGTGACTTTCCTAAGATCACATGCCTGGTCATTGAGGCAACAGGGATATAAGCCCAATTCCTGGGCCTCTCAATTTTAAACTTATCCCAATTTCTACATTGATAAATTATAGTAAAGGAATTGGGCATTGATATTTTTCAAAATATCAAATGTGTTAAGCTCATAGTAGACGTTCAATAAAATTTTAACTCATTTAAATTTATTTGGGACTTACATCAGAGCACACATTTTTAGAATCTGGAAGCTGAGCAGTGAATACACATCACAGGAGGTGTCCTAGAGATGGGGATATGTTTGGGTTCATGATTTGATCAGGAGTCTATGTGAGAGGGATTTTCATTCCTTATGGGAATGAAATCCTTGGAAAACTGAGGGAACCAGTTCAAAGAATGAGGGTGGGCAAGGCTGAGGCAAGGACAATGGTGATGATGGATTGTTTAGCAGATCTGTCACACAAGTTGGCCCCTGCACACCTTACACCACCATTTGCAATGGCCCCAGTAAAGTGTTCCATCATTCTAGTCCCTATGGAAAATATTTAGAAATCTACATAAAACACCAGTTTTGTTATACAATAGATTATAATGCAAATCCAACTGAAGATGGTTTTCTGTCTCCTTTATCCCAGTTTCTGCTGTAGCATAAAAGCACGTAGGAAGTAGCAAAGGATATCTCTATAGATAATGTCAGAATCAAGAGAAGATGACTTTGGCCTGGGCACCTAAACACATGGACAATGTGTGATAATTCCAGAAGGAACCACAGAACAATGTGGCTGAGAGACAAGGAAATGGGAACTGTGTTCCCCAGTACCTGTATGTATTAATCAGTTCCCACACTGCTCTAAAAAAATACCTGTGACTGAATAATTTACAAAGAGGTTTAATTCACTCACAGTTCCACAGGCTGTACAGGAAGCATGGCAGAATCTGCTTCTGGGCAGGCCTCAGGGAACTCAGAATCATGGAGGAAGGCAAAGGGAAAGCGGGCACATCTTACATGGCCAGAGCAGAAGCAAGGGTTTGGGGGAGGTGCCACACAATTTTAAACAACCAGATCTCACTCACTATACAGTATCAAAAGGGAATGTTGCTCAACCATTCATAACTCCACCCCCATGATCCAGTCGCCTCTCAGCAGGCCCTACCTTCAACACTGGGGATTACAACTGGACTTGAGATTTGGGCAGGGACACAGATCCAAGCCATATCACTGTTTCACACCCCTTCCCCACATACCCAAAATATCATGGCTAGGGCTGAATCAAATAAACACTATGTTTTACTTATATGGTTATTGCCATCCTTCACTGCATCAAAGGGACCACAGGTTACCTATGGCCTCTGTTTGTACCTCCTGCTATGTTCTCTGACCTCCAGATACACTGGCTGGGGAGTTCCTGGAACATTTCAATTGCCCTTCCACAACAGGGTTGCTCCTATTTACAAGTTTTCCTGAGTTATCTTTTAAAGTTCAGTTCAAGTCACCTCCTAAGAAAAGCTTCCCTCTCCAAAAGTCACCTTCGTTCAGATTCCTTTCTTAATATACTCCATTGTAAGAGAAATCTATTTCATAACATGTTCTTGGTGCATGTTTGTACACGCATTTGCATTATTCTTATGACTGTCTCTTCTACTAGACTGTAATCTCCATAAATAGAAGTTCTGCACTTACTTTTGCTCCCTTATGCTAGAACCATACCTGAGGATTGTTGTTCAATGAAGTCATTAACATGTACTTATATGAGCATGTATTTATATCACCTCTGGCCCAGGTGATCTTCGTCATATAGAATGAAAGCAAAAAAAGTCATAGTTTGCTTTACTTAACTTGTATCCTCTTACACATATACACACACACACACTCACTCTCTCTCCCTCCCTCCCTCCTTCCCTCCCTCCTTCTGGCTTTATCTGGCTTGGATGTGTCTATCAGCAAGCCTAGTTATGTTTACGTGGGCAATCAGAATGTACATTAACCACAATAATTGTAAATATGTAATATAAAATTGTGCAACGTTGAAAGAAACACACAGGTGTATACTTGCCTCTGCACACCTACATGAACACAATGATGAAAGTTGCTTTTTTCCCTATTAGTTGAACTACACATTTATAAAGTACAATTTGTGGTCCAGTGGCAAAGGCTTATTAATGAAATTCAGAAAAGAGAACTTTAGGAATTGTAGGCTAGAAGTCAGAGGTTCTGCCTCAGTGGGGGTAGTTGCATTTGGATGAGGCCCCTGGCTTCCCCATTAGACTCTGCTTCATGAGATCAGAGTCCAAATTCCCACTTGTTGACCACAGTGCCTGCCATGTATTAGATCCTCCTCATTAATGTCTATTGTTGACTCCTTTACTATTTCTTACAAGGAGGGGGATGGAGAGTAAACACTTTGGAAACAAAGTCACATGGCACACGTGAGGCAAAGGGAAAAAGTGTCTCTGGACTAAGTCAGACAGTGATAGATGACAAACATCATTTTCTGCAAGAAAGCAACTGTCAGGCTAGCTCCTAGGATTTCTTCTTTTTCTATTAACCGTTCTTATTTCCTGGGTTCTGAGACATCAACAGTTCTAAAGTCTGTGGTCCTTGTGTTTATATTCCTTCCTCTTCTCTGCTATTTTTTTCCTCCTTTCTTCTCTCTGCTCCTCATTTCCCTCATTATATTTTTTCTTTCCCTAAAGTTAGGTTACTATTATTTTAATAATAAATTCACTCTGATGATTTCTCAGCTGAGGCCAACATGAATTTTGGTGTTGGTGATCAGTCAGAAAGACCAACACATGACAAGTGAGGGAAGGATCTGGAAAGTAGCCAGATGGTAGAGGCAACATCCCCTAGTCTACTGGGTGGTCAAGAATCTCTAGCAGGCCAAATATGGCTTGGAGCTCAGTGGGGTCCAGCAAACTGGCTCAATGAGGGGAAACACATGAATATGGCAAAGGTCATTTGTAACAAAGTCAAAGACCTGTTCTTACTTTGATGTGAGCCCAACAAAAAATTAGTCATTAATTCCAGAAATTTTCACCCGAGCAAATCATCAGATGTCATCCTTCTCTCTAGCCTTCGACGAGTTTTCATTTTTTATTTGATATTTACTGAGTGCTCATGATTAGCTTTAAGTAGTACGGCAGGGTGTTTTAGAGTCTTGCAACAGTAAGTGTGGTGTGAGGACCAGAAGCGTTGGCCCCATTGAGGAGCTTGTTAGAAATGAAGACTTCCAGGCTTCATCCGATACCTATTGAGTCTCCATCTTAACAAGATTTCCCAGTGATATAGTTTGCTGTATCCCCAGCCAAATCTCATTTTGAATTGTAATCTCCATAATCCCCATGTGTCGAGGGAGGGACCCTGTGGGAGGTGATTGGATTGTGGGGGCAGTTTCCCCCATGCTGCTCTCATGATAGTAAATGAATTCTCATGAGATCTGTTGGTTTTATAAACGATGGTTTTTCCCGTGCTCTCACACACTCACTCTCTCTTATCTGCTGCCACGTAAGATGTGCCTGTTTCACCTTCCACCATGATTGTTAAGTTTCCTGAGGCCACCCCAGCCATGCAAAACTGTGAGTCAATTAAACCTCTTTCCTTTATAAATTACCCAGTCTTTGGTAGTATCTTTACAGCAGTGTGAAACGGATTAATACACCCAGGAAATTTGTCTGTATATTAAAGAGATGAGAAACCTTAATAAAGACCATGGACTGGATTTTCACAGGTCTGGGATTGAGGATACTTAAGCCCTCTGAGTCTCAATGTATTCATCTGTAAAATGGAAATTATAATAAATTTTTCTGAGGATTACTGTGAGGCTTCAAAGAGCTGTATAAGCCAAAGATAGCTTAACATAGTTCTTGGCACATATTGAGTTTTAGCAAATGATAAATCTACATAATAAATATATTATAGAACTTAGAAAAAAAGATATTTTGAAAGCATCCATAAGTGGTTCTTTCAGATGCAAAAGCAATATAGAGCATATTAAAATCTGAGAGAGAGTAGATACCCATTTATTGGCCTCTGATGGTAAATTTTAATAATGAGCAAATATGCAGAACAATTTTGCTACAGGTATAACTGGGTATATGGGAAGTAACATTGATTGAATGTTTTTACAAATATCATCTCATTTAATACTTCTAACAACCCTGTGGAGCACGTATTACTGGAAGATGGGGTATTGTATAGATAAAAGAAGCTTGGATATCACAAGTTTGAGCTACCCAAAATGACACACTTCATCAATGACAGAGATGGGTCACAAAGCAATGATTACAATTGAAGAGTTACAAACTTGCCCATTTTCCTTTGCTCAAGAATATCTATTGATGAAATGACTGCTACGTGAATCCACAAAGAAAACAAGAGATTGGAATGCTCTTTAGTGTCAGATAATTTCTCTGACTTTTCATGATGGGAAGTATCTCTTTAAACACAGAAAATCACAAGGAATTTACCAAACCGTTTGCATTACTTTTAACATGTTACAGGTATTTCCTAAATCAATTTTATATATAAATTTATTCTCAAGGTCACTCACCTAGGTCTTTTTTGTTTCTTTTCTGTTTTAATAAATGGAGAGGAAGAAATTAAGGAAGCTAACTAAGAGAACATTCATTAACTTATTTCCTTAATTATGGTTGTCCACTTATAAAGTCACATGTAAATGGACTGGTGAAAATGAGAATTGCTTGAAGGGAATATTTCTTTCAATGGCATGTAGGCTGTGGGAGTAGCTTTGTTTGTGCACAGAGGAGAGAACGCGAGAGACAAGCAGTGGTCATGCTTCTTGTATTTGGTGGCATGTGGTGAATAATTGATCACTCTTCCTTTCTTCTTGCCGCAATCACTAATTCTCTCAGTGCCTCACTTCTACATGTGTCAAGCTCATGATTAGGCCAGCAGAGAATCCTGACAAACCCAGGAGGCTTCCTTCTGTCTGAGGTGCCATTTATAACCCAAATGAAAAATTAAATGGGAAAAGCAAGAAAATGCCTCTGAAGCTTTACTGATTTATTTATTTATTTATTTGCCTCCACCTTTACTCTACCCTGTATTGTTTGACAAGGCAGGTCACATGCTGTCCAAGCAAATGCCATACTCAAGGAGCAAGCCAAAGAACGGAATGCATGCACAGGTTTACAAATGGAGGCCAGAATCTTCTAGTAACTGGAGACAGCGTCACTTCTAAACTTTTAATGGAAACTTTTACAGTGCTTCAAAACAGTACCGATTCAACTCATTATCATTCCCTAAGCTCATGATAATTTTGCATTAGCCCAAATGCAAAGGAATATATGGCTTCTTGTTTTTAGGAAAACAATGCTTCCTACCTGGAGGGGCTTATTTTCAGACTCACGTTTTCAGCTGTCATATTATAGATCAGTAACTTGCTGAATACAAAATTTTCAGGCAAAACAAATGGTTTTCTTTTATTTCAGAACGTAAAATGTTTTCAGGAAGATTTCCAAACCCTGCCTAGGAATTGGGTATTGCCATATCACTTTAAGGACAATTCCCTTCATTTGGCTTTTTGCCCCTCCAATGAAAAAGGCAAATCCTGCACTGCCTTCTCATTAACGAAAACGTAACTGCAAAGACAGCATATTTCTAGAGTAAACAAATCTCCCAGAGCCTGTATTTTTGATAAGTATTTTTGCAGTGCTAGTCTGAAGGTTTAACGGTGTGTAGTGTTTCACTTTAATAGTCAGACTAGCAAGCGATAACAAATGCACTTTAAAAACTTTACACTCTGTGAGTTCTGCTCTGACAGGCCTTCCTTGGAATCAGGAGGTAATATGGCTTCTCAGTGAGCCATACTTACGTTTCAAGCTGAAGAGGAAATTATTCTTGAACCACTGGATCTGTTGGTAATTCGTGGCTCAGTTTATGGTGGCCTTTTAAATTCACCCTGTCTCACTGGGTTTTCCTGGATAGAGCTCAGAGTGGAGAGATTATGCAAAGGTGACGACTGCTTACAGAAGGCAGCAGTCTAAATTGGGGATTCAGTTCAGAGGTCTGTGTGAGCACACGTATCAATAGTAGGCATCCATGGCCTGATTATGGCCATTGTGCAATGTGTCATTTTTCACTCAGAGATGTAATAAATGAAGGAAACATTCCAAGGAAGTATATGAAGAAACAAAGAACATATGAATATTCTCATAATTTCACATGACATTTTCCACATACAGTTGGGATGGGTGAGTGTTCCATATATAAAAGGATACACACACACACACACACACAGATACACACATATTCTAACAAATATATACACACATTTTTAAATCCTAGTTCCATATGTTGTACATGAACTTTTTCACTATTATTTTATTTTCCAAACTGAATTGGGGTTTATGAATATGGGCTCTGGACCAAAATGCTTAGGACCAAACCCCCATTTCATCACAATCTCTCTTGCAATATCTGTAAACACTTTGTGCCTCATTTTCCTCATTTGTCAAGGGGAGATCATAATAGTACCTACTTCAAAGTAGTGAGAATCTGATAATACAAGTACTTTGCTTTGTATAGGAAGCACATCATAATGATAGTTATAAAAACGTCACGATGAGAAAAATAGTTTCTAGGAGTACAAGAAATATAGATTAAAAGGACTTAACTGCTACTAAGTGTGTGTGAGTTAAGATTTTTTGGCTGTAAACATTGGAAGTGTACTAGTACTGACTAAGCATATTTCAGGATCAAGGTTCATGTAATACAATTCAAAAGCAGAATGTAGAGCCAGGGAAGCCTAGCATCAGGAAAGAAAAAGCTGCTAGGCACCAAGACTGCTGTGCTCTAGGTTTCTTGCTCTCTTGGGTCACACAGGCTCTTTCTTGGCTCACGTGCTTCTACGTGCAGACGCTTTTCTCTGATTTTCTCTGCACACAGTATCCACACAGCACCTGAGAACATGTGTCCTTGGTTCTAGCCACATGCAGATGGACCAGATGGAGAGAGAGGCTGCTTATCCAGCTTGAACTAAGTCCACTCCTGACTCATTCAGCTCTAAGAAAAGGTTCAGGCACTTAGGCCCCCATCTTGTGTGTAGATGCAGAACTTGACTCCCAGAGCCACGGAAGCATTAAGAGCTTGCCAGATTTGTTCAAAAGATATGGAAAACAATGTGTATAATGATTATAAACATTGACTAGGTAAAAGAGTTAAACAACAGTACAATCTTACAAAATAAAATTTCCTGTTCATAGATTGTCATGAATGCTTTTTCTTTCCTCCTACTAGTGGGTTGAAATATTTCTTAAATGCGTTAGACCATGTATACCTTGGAAAGTACACTGTAGGAAATCGAATTTATTTTTCCCATGATTTGTGAGCAGCCTCAGGGCTAAAAATTGGTCCACCAGAGATCAGAATTAGTCTTGACAGATCCTAGTCACACTGTAGAAAACATTTTATTCATTCATAATTCTTTTGTTACTGCTATTGTTATTGCTATTAACTTCTTTATCCTTCAACTACAGCTCAAGAAGAAAAAGAAAACAATGATGATTAATTGAGTTTTCCAGTTAATCAGCGGTTCTCTCTATTTAGATTCTCAGTGGGTTCTCCGAGGAGATTTACAAGGAAATCTTGTTGGGTGTGATATAACTTAATAAGCATGATGCAGAGAGCTTTCTAAAGAGAAGTATCACATGGGGAGTTTCTCAAAATACCATTGACTATGGATGGTACTGAGACACTCATGGATTAAAATGCTGCCTTTATGTGATAAGAAAACTTAAATTCAGAGAATGAGCAAAGGGCCAGTAGTAAACATACTCCTTCCTGAGGATGCAGAGGCAGATAGGGCTGAATGTATTAGGGGTCTGTAGTATGTTCCTGGTCTGTAATCCATGTTCCCTGCACTGTCAAGTCATAAATGAATGTATAGAAAGCTGATAATTTTTTGTTTTTTGAGTTTGAGTTTTGCTCTTGTTGCCCAGGCTGGAGTGCAATGGTGCGATCTCGGCTCACTGCAACCTCCGCCTCCCAGGTTCAAGCGATTCTCCTGCCTCAGCCTCCAAGTAGCTGGGACTACAGGCACACGCCACCACGCCCAGCTAATTTTTTGTATTTTAGTAGAGACAGAGTTTCACCATGTTGGCCAGGATGGTCTTCATCTCCTGACCTCATGATCCTCCCACTTCGGCCTTCCAAAGTGTTGGGATTACAGGCGTGAGTCACCGCACTGGGCTATAGTTTACTTATTCATACTTCTACAAGTTTATCCTCTTAGAAAAGAATCAAATTTATCTTACTAAAACCTGCTTGTTTCAGTTGCCAATCTTATATAAGAAACATCATTTCCCTTTTATTTAATTTGTCATCATTTAATAGTATCTATCAGGAAGGACCAAAATAAAATTTAGCATTATTGTAACAGGAGAAAGAAATATTGTAAGCATATAAAAATAGGAGATGGGTAAAGAAGTTGAACTAATAAATATACTTTCACGATTTTTGTTGAAGAAAACTTCAGCAGATTCATGAATTTCACCCATCCTGTTCGTATGTAGGGAAGTTACTTTTTAAAATCATATCGATTTAGATATGAATTATTAAATAGTAAATGGTATTGAATTTCAAGTACAAGCATTATGTGCTAGGATTTTAGGCAAAAAAAAGAGAAAATGAAAAGGTTAGAACAATCAGGTGCCACAATCCCTGGCCCTAAAGAATTTATGCTATTTCTAAAAACTAAGAAATTAGAAAAAAATAAACAATAAAAGGATAATACAATGTAATGAA
The DNA here is from genome assembly GCF_000001405.40 of Homo sapiens. Lineage (NCBI taxonomy): Eukaryota > Metazoa > Chordata > Mammalia > Primates > Hominidae > Homo > Homo sapiens. The sequence goes on along the minus strand of NC_000005.10, from coordinate 165,302,584 downwards.
GTGCTAAATCATATAGATACAAGAGAGATCACTCTCCTTTGGGCTTACACATGACCCTCCCTGGCAAGAGGTACAAGATGCGTTGCTCTGCTGGATTATAACCACTGTGTATTTACAATTTCACAACTGTAAAATCAATGAAGAGTTTTACCAGTAGCTGTTTACTTCTAGCAAAGAGCCATATGGCCAAAAATACTGAGAATTCACCAAGAAGTGTTATTTGCACAGAAAAATAAAAGACTTTGTTATTTTTATTTAGTCTGCATAGAAAAAACATTAAGAAGACTATCATTACATATCTTGGTAGTGATGTGATAACAATCTTACAATTTGAAAAAGTTCATTACTCAATTTTCCAAGCATATTTTGAAATAAAATTTGTTCTCCTAGAGAATTGAAAAGTCAGCAGTTGAGATTTAAAGAAAGCAACATGAGGCCTTCTTGCCTTTGGAAAAGAAATAAAGAAAGTGAATCATGGGCAAGATTAGAGCAGTTTTATAAATCAGCAAAGATCAAAACACAGATGCACCTGGCCCATGGTAGAAAATACAAAGCTACCTCACTTTCTGGGATTAGTGTTCACTTTGATCTTGACATTTCTATAGATCACAATACATGGTAAAGTGATAATTGACAATAAGAGGAAAAAAATTAAAAGTTATACAGAATTATATTTCTTGACATTCAACATAACTGTGAAAGTGTGTCCAGAATTTAAATTAAAAAGCTGTGAATACTGCTGGGTAAACCACATCTTTTTATTTTACACTGTATTAGTCCATTTTTATACTCCTATGAAGAAATACCCGAAACTGGGTAATTTATAAAGAAAAAGAGGTTTAAAAGACTCATAGTTCCACACGGCTGAGGAGGCCTGACAATCATGGTGGAAGGCTAAGGAGGAGCAAAGGCACATCTTACATGGCAGCAGGCAAAAGAGCATGTGCAGGGGAACTCCCTTTATAAAACCATCAGATCTCATGAGACTTATTTGCCATCACAAGAACAGCATGGGAAACACCCTCATGATTCAATTCCCTCCCACAGAGTCCCTCCTACAACACATGGGGATTATGGAAGTTACAATTCATGATGAGATTTGGGTGAGGATACAGCTAAATCATATCATACACAAAATAGTTGTCAATAACTTAGGGGATGTAGACTCTGTAGACTTGTAGATCAACTTAGCTAGTCTACATGTTTGAGAATTAAATGAAAAATAACAGAAAAATCAACGTTAAGATTTCAGAAGTTAATAAATGAATGACATAAATTTTAAAGGTTAAATTTTACCCCATTTGCTTTAATAGTGAGAGACTTAAAAGATTACTTCTTACAAAGAACTTTCTCTGAAGGAATGTTCTGCTGAAACTCAAAATCATTCTTTCCTGTTCAGGAATCTTTTTAACATGAGCTAGTGCACACAGGCCTTGTGAGGGATGGGGCAAGAAGAAGACAAGGTTCCCTCTGTTTCCGGGATTTTTAACCAGTTCAACGAATAGTGCTGGAGGTCACAATGCCTTGGTACTAGTTTTATGTGTGCCTTCTTTGTGTTTACCTATTGGTCAGTTCATGTATATCCCTACAGAGGTACATATATTTATTAACCAGTACAGTAGGAACTTGTCAGTGAGCTTTATTTGTCAGAGTCCCCATATTTACCAGGTTCAAAAAAAGCAAAAATTGTCATAAGATGTAAAGACCCATGAGTAAACTGATTATGAAATTAGTATCCACTCAAACATATCTTCTCACATAATGTATGAGTCCATGAAAAATAATACTGCAGGTGTAAAAACAATGGAAAAGTATCCTAAGTGATTCCACAAACGTGTTAAAGATGGACATGTCCCAAACAAAATCTTAATGTTTATGAGACAATCTTATTTTGGGCATTGACACCTAAGTGTATGAATTTTGGAGGCTGCTTCAGTTGGAATTCTTGCTTTATCATGTACTAACTCTGGATATTGGGTAGCAAACTTATTCTCTCTTGCCTTTAATTTTTGATCTGTACAATGAGAAGATGACAGCTCTTATTAAATAGTGATTTTGTGAGGATGAAATAAGATACTGCCTGTAAATTACGTATAACAGGGCCTGATAACATACTTAATAAATGTTAGAGAAATTCAAATAATAACCAAAAAATAAAATTTTGCTTGAAGAAAAATTGATAAGGGTGTGTCTTAAGAGAAAATGATTTTGGTATTAAAATATTAATCAAGGCTGCTAGGAAAATTGATGAAGCCCTTGAATGTTTTTGTACTCATGACCCTTATAATGATGTTGCTGCAAAAGTCAAAAGAAAAGTAAACTAAGTCATATATTTCTATCACTCAATCTGATGAAAACTGTACATTACAAAGGAACACTTATTTTCTAATAATTATTTACCATCTAATTTTTAAATATAAAAAGTACTTTTATAGTTCATTTTCTAAGTCCCAAGCAAACTTGTTTTTACTCTTGTTTTTTTTCTTTTGAGACAGAGTCTGACTCTGCCACCCAGGCTGGAGTGCAGTGGCGTGATCTTGGCTCAGTGCAACCTCTGGCTCCTGGGTCCAAGTGATTCTCCTGTCTCAGCCTCTCAAGTAGCTGAGATTACAGACATGTGCCACCAGGCCTGGCTAATTTTTTTTTTTTTTTTTTTTTGTATTTTTAGTAGAGATGAGGTTTTGCCATGTTGGCCAGGCTGGTCTTGAACTCCTGACTTCAGGTGATCCGCCTGCCTCAGTCTCCCAAAGTGCTGGGATTTCAGGCATGAGACACCTTACCCAACCTCCACTCTTTATTATTGTTAGAGTAGGTAGTTAGGCAGACATGAGCAGGGCAGGAGAGGGCCGCCTCTGCCCCACCAGGAATGTCAGGCAAGTATCAGGTGATGGTCAGGTGGTTGTTCAACTCTCTCTCTAAAATAATAATTTTTTGCAGCCAATGACAGGGAAAGGCAGTCTCCCAGTAGAAAGAAAGTGCCTGAAGCTGGTGATCAGCAGCTTCCTGATAAGATCTCATGATTTGGGCAAGTGGGCTCAAGCATGCACACTAAGAGGCAAAATGGCAGAGTTTAACTGGTGTATGACCTTCCTCTAGGAACACTCGACTGGTAAAGGAAAAATGCCTGAAGTGAGCATGTGTACAACTTTAGTAAACATACTGCTCATGTGGCCCCTTCCAACTGCTGGCAGGCCAGTGTGCATATGGACAGCCCACCCCAAGGGAAGAATCAGAGTAAGAGAGATGCAACCCCCTGGATGCATGCCAATATATAAAACCCCAAGTCAAAAGTCAAACGATGCACTTGAATCTCCCAAGTTGCCACTTGGCCTTCTTCAAAGTGTACATTACTTCCTTTCATTCCTGTTCTAAAACTTTTTAATTGTAACTTTCACTCCTGTTCTAAAACTTGCCTCAGTCTCTCACTGTGCCCTATGCCCCTCGGTCAAATTCTTTCTTCTGAGGAGGCAAGAATTGAGGTTGCTGCAGACCTGTATGGATTCACTGCTGCTAACATTGTGACATTTTAACGTTAAGTAGATTCATCTTAACTGAGTTTTTCCTGTTAACTTTTTATACTTACAGATTCTTCAGTATTTAACGTACATAAAGATGCACGTCCTGTTTGCCACAATGAATTCTGTGTGTATATGTAACCAACAAAAGTACAAAAACAGTATTTATTTTAGAGATAGAAATAAATTATCCATTTCATCAAAAAATAAGACTAAAGTTTACAATAACTAACCAACCACTCAACTAAATATTTCAGCTAAAAAAATAATGAAATATTAATACAAATGTTTGAGCTCAATTCGTCATTTAGAGTGCCTCACTAACCCCCAAACCACATGTACAAACACATGTAATTAATATAGAAGGTCTTTATAAGCCAACCAGTGGTTACGCTTTATAAAACAGAGACTGAACTGATATTGATTCATGAAAATGGAAATATTCCTTTTATTGAAGCAAAAATAAGTAATTAAATAAGTTTTTAGTCACAATACATAAGGTTTGAAAAGAACTGCCATCACAACAGAGTTTTTCAATAGACAGAAAAGAAATGAATAGCAAGCAACCTGAGCTCTTGACCCAATCATTTTCTACCTTTGGATGAATTATTAAATCTCATATTCCTGAAATCCAATGTCCTTATTCTCAAAACATATCATTTGAATATATTTCAAATGGCTGCTATATAAAAACTTGCCAAGGTGCTAGATTAATCCTACCTGGAATCAGAGAATCATTATATCCATTAAAATTCAAGTGTGAAATTAATTCTGACCTGACTTGGCAGATTCAGCAAAACAATGAGTCTATTAGAAAGTACCAGTTAGACAACAGAGGATTCGAGAACTTTCTGTGATGCATTTGAAAAGCAAAGAAGGGCAGTTAAAAGTATCTCCTTCTTAAACAGGGGAGGGTTTGTTTTAACTTGGGTTAGGAAATAATTTAACATTTCTATTATTGTATACTCTTTTATTCAACAAATATTTATTAAGTTCCTGTTATGCACAAGACATTATTTTTTGTAGAAACGATATAAGATGAGTGAGTCAGAAATCATTCCTGACCTCTCGAATTCCAGTGAAGAAAATAAGCACTGACCAAGTAATAAACAATAAGTGTAATGAGTGTTTCTAAAAGGGAGGGAAAAAATACTGTAAGAAATTCCACTTTCAAGTATATTGGCTTTATAATTTATAAATAAATCTCAAGTTTTTATTTAACTTGAGGCGCATGCACACACACACACACACACACACACACACACACACTTTGTAATGAAATTAAATCTTAAGTCTCTAACAGGGTCCTCTGATTTTAGAAATTAGGAAGTTTGTGTTTTTTCCTGAACATCTAATGTCACTACCTACAATACCAATGCATTTTGACATATTGCCTTTATCATTTCACCAATGAGTGCATCATCAAATTGTATTCATTCACTCCTTTCTTTATTCTTTTATTCTAAACTCTTTAGTTAATTACTTTGTCTTTCTAATTATCACACATATATGGAGCAACCACTGTGCTCAGCACTAAGAAGAAGGGATTAAGCAAAATGTAAATATAAAACAGGAGGAAGAAGCTAATTTATAGTAGATATTGCCATGAAGTAAATGTAATGAGTAGTACTGTCCCCTTCCCTCTACAAATGTTGTGTTAGAGTCAAGAAAATAAAGCACTGTTAAGAAAAATACTTGTAATTAACATTCTTGATTTTGACCAAGATAACTTCAACACTATCCTCAACTTGACAAAATTTTAAACAGGCATCTTGACTACAGGCCCCTGTTTTTTCTTTCCTTAGGATATTTACTTTAAGAAAACTTATAAACCCTTTCTTTGCCCTTTTGAGAAGTGTATCTTCTGTAGCCCAGAAATGTCTTTCTCAAAGATCTAGGGGTCATCCATTTGAAATGTAGTCATGAAGAAAGACAGAACCCTGTCTCAGTCCCTGTGGAAATATAGAAGCCTAACTTTGCTAAGCACCAACTAGCAAACACAAATGGCCCAGTCACTTGGACTGATATCTTAATGTTCTCCATTAGCTCATACCAGCATGAAGAATCCCCCTGCCTTTTGTTTCAGCACAGCTGGATTCAAACTTTCTTCCTTATTGCAAAAGTCTCTCCTATTGCAACAGTCATGAATAATGTCTTCCTTACCTGTTTAACTGGTCCAGTGCATTTTTTCTTTTACAATATTTAGTTATTACATACTCATGTCCACAGTGGACACTCTAACTGTTTCAAAGAACAGCATTACTGGGTCATAATAATCTAAAATGTCGAACATTATATAGACCAGAAATACTGAAAGCTAGACAAGTGACTTCTCCAAGTTCTTGAGTAGATGAAGTAACAGGACAGAGAACACAAGTTTCATAACCTTTGGTTTACCTAGTTTCCTTGTCACGATGACATGCGGGTCTTATTCAGAAATACACCAGGGAAGTAAAGACAATATATCTTGCTGATGGCCCCAGGTAATGTTCCAAAGTATGCCTTCAGGGCAAGTAAATTTCCAGTTGAACGTTGTACTCTTTCTCTTCTGTACGTTGCAGTCTAAATACTTTCTAGGTGAAACTTATATCACAAATCGGATAAAGTTCTTCTAAATTAGAAAACTATCTCTCTATCTGTGTGTTTGTGTGTGTGTGTCTGTGTATGTGTAGAAGGGTGCTTGAAACCAGGCATTTTTTTGTTAAACACTGCTCTGCCACTTAAGAGTCGGGTAGACTTGGGCAAGTTGCTTATCAACTTTAATATTCAGTTCTTTCTTCTATAAAATGGCGATAATACCTACTATGTAAGGTCATATTGAATATTAATATAATGTAAGATGTCTTGCTAGTGTCTGCCAAACAATAGTTGGTAAATTAATGTAAGCTATAATTAACAGCCTTAATAATAGCAAGACCTTTAAGGAATAAAATTTTAGTCCTATATTATGCTAAAATTTATGCTTTCAGTTTTTATATGTGTGTCATTATATTTTAAATTTTATTTCATTATTAATACATCAGTTAATCTAACAGTACAGGGTATTTATGTTTTGCTGGTGGTGGTTGTATTTTAGTTTAGGGATTTTTTTTTTTATCCCTAATGCCTAGTTTATTTCACTAACGGTACTCACTAGAAGAATAAAAGCTCCATAACAGAGGCAAGGTTTTTTATTGAAGTGAGTTTTTGTTGTTTAATCCTAAAGTATTCAATCTTCCTTTTTTCCCTTAAGAACGGTAGAAAGAAAATCGCTCCATGTGCCTAAAGAATTGGTACCCCCCAAAATACATTATCAAGTGTCTACTTAAGTTAAAACTATTGGCATTCCAGTATAAATAACCCATACCTCTATCACAATATAGAACATTCCCACCACCCCATAATGATCCCTTATACTATCTCTCAGTATCTAGCCCTGACCCCTTTAGAGGCAACCACTATTACGATTTCTATCACCAGTTCTTAAAAATCATATAAACAAAATAACACAGTATGCATTACAGTTTGCTTCCTTTTTTTCAATCAGCATGCTTTTGAGATTCATCAATATTGTTGCATGTATCAGTAGTCTGTATATGGATTTTGTTTATCCATTTTGTTTATCCATTCAAATTGTGACATTTGGGTTGTTTCTAATATTTGGTTAGTATGAATAAGGTTGCTAGGGATACTTTTAGATGTCTTTTTTATACATACAACTTTATACGTTCTTTTTTCTCTTGAGTAAATATCTAGAAGTAAATTTGAAGATAACCATGGTCAGTAGGAAAAATGCGTCCTTAAAGATGTCCACACCTTAATCCTTTTCATATGTGAAGATGTTACACTACATGGAAAAAGCGAATTTGCAGATATGATTAAAGATAACGTATGAAAGAAAAGAGAGCCCTTGAAGCAAGAAGCTCCTGAAATCTGCATGACAGGTGCCTTGAGTCTGGCTGAATAGAAGATGCACATGTTCGAGGAGAGATAGGGACATTATTCTGGATTATCTGGGTGGGCTCAATCTAGTAACATAAATCCTTAAAAGTGAAAAACAATTCTTGGCTATAGTCAGAGAGAGAGAAAGAGAGATTTGACAATGGACTAGGATCAGAGAAAGCAACATTGCTGGCTTTGAAGCTGAAGGAAGTAGCCATGATCTAAGGAATTCAGGCAACCTCCAGGAACTCTAAAGGGAAGAGAAAGAGATTTTTCCCCTAGCATTATTTTGAGCTAGCAAGTTCGTGGTAATTTATTACACTAGCAATGTAAAACTACTATAGTAACTTTATAAGAAAATTCTAGACCAGTTTCTAAAGAGTTTGTATTATGTTATCCTCCTCAAGCAGTGCATGTGATTTTTCACTTGCTTCATATTTTCACCAGCATTTGATATGGTCAATGGTTTCAACTTTAGGTATTCTAAAGGTATGTAGTGTGTAATACTGTCAGTTTAATTTGCATTTCCCTAATGATTAATGATGTTATTCAATGTTTTTGTGTGTTTATCGGCACATTTTTAATGTATTTATTGGTAAATTATAAAATGAACTTTGAAAATGCTTGTTCAAAGCTTTTGCTCATTTTAAAAATGTTTTTATTTTAATTATTAAGAGAGGAAAGTTGTTTGTAAATAAATCTTTTGTAAGATATATGTATTGCAATTATTTCCTGTCAGAATGTGGCTTGCCTATCCAGTTTTTTTGTCTTTACTTTTTTTTGAGACGCTGTCTTGCTCTATCGCCAGGCTGGAGTGTTGTGGTGCAATCTCTGTTCACTGCAACCTCCGTCTTCTGGGTTCAAGCGATTCCCCTGCCTCAGACTCCCGAGTAGCTGGGACTACAGGCGTGTGCCACCAACGCCCAGCTAATTTTTTTGTATTTTATTAGAGACAGGCTTTCACCATGTTGGCCAGGATGGTCTCAATCTCCTGACCTCGTGATCCACTCGCTTTGACCTCCCAAAGTGCTGGCATTACAGGCGTGAGCCACCATGCCTGGCCATCTATTCAGTTTTTTAGTTTTTCTTTTGATTAGCAAAAGTTTTAAATTTTGACAATATATATTTTATTAAGCTTTTACTTTTATAATTAGTGCCTTCTGGGTCTTGTATAAGAAATCGCTTTCTATTCCAAGGTAATGAAGATGTTCTCTTCTATTTTTTTTTTTTTTTTTTTTTTTTTTTTTTAGAAAAAGCTATATAGACCAGGCATGGTGGGTCACACCGGTAATCACAGCACTTTGGGAGCCCGAGACATGTGGATCACCTGAGGTCAGGAGTTAGAGACCATCCTGGCTAACATGGTGAAACTCCGCCTCTACTAAAAATACAAAACGTTAGCCAGGCACGATGGCAGGCGCTTGCAATACCAGCTACTCTGGAGGCTGAGGTAGGAGAATCGCTTGAACCCAGGACGCAGTGGTTGCAGTGAGCTGAGATCGCACCATTGCACTCCAGCCTGGGCAACAAGAGAGAAACTCTGTTTCAAAAGAAAAAAAAAAAAAAGAAAAAAGAAAAAGCTATATAAAATATGTTTTAAGTTTTACTCCTAGGACTATGATCAATCTTGAATTAATTTTACTGCATGGAATGAGGTAAAGGTCAGTGTTTACTCTCATCGCCCCACCCCAACATATCTATTTAGTTGTGCTCAGCTCCATTTGTTGAGCAGCTTTCAATTTTTCATTGGATTACTTTGGCATCTTGGTTCAAAATCAATTGACAATAAATATGTAGACATACTTCTGGATTATTGGTTTTATTAAATTCATTTATTTAATCTATCTTTATGCCAGTAGTGCAGACTTAATTATCATAACTTAATAAATGAAATAAAGAAGTGTAAGTTCTTTAACTTTGTTCTTCTTTTTCATGATTCTTTAGTCAAACTTTTTTCTTTAAATTTCTATATACATTTTAGAGTCAGCTTGTCAATTTCTACAAAAAATAGTCCTCTGAGATTTTGATTGAGATTATGCTGAATATACAGTTCAACTGGGGGGAAAATCACATCTACACAATATTTTGTATTCCTATCCATGAACATAGTTAATCTGATTAGTAAAGCTATCCATTAATTTCTCTCAGCTATGTTTTATTGTTTTCAGTGCAACAGTCTTGTATGATGTCATTAGATTCATTTCTATTTATTTTTCATGATATTGTAAATAGTAATTTTTTGTTTCAGTTTTTTATTGCTTTTATGTAGAATTGTAGTTAATATTTACCTTTGGCCCTCTATCCTATAACCTTGCTAAACAAACATATTAGTTCTATTGGTAGTTTTGCTGATACTGAAGGGTATTTTACACACATGTTGTTTGTGAATATTGAGTTTTACTTTTTTCCTTATTTGTATCTTTTATTTATTTTTCTTGCATTATAGCACTGGCTAAGGCCATTAAGGAAATGATGAACAGAAATGATATAAGAAACTCTTGATTTGTTCATTCTCTTACATGAGAAGCGCTTAATGTTACACCATTAAGCCTGGCATTAATTGTAAGGTTTTTGTTTTTTTTTTTTTTAATTATAGATGACCTTCTCAGCTTGAAGAAGTCTTCTATTTCAAATTAGCAAAAATATTTATTATAAAGTAGCATTAAAACATGTCAATTTTTTCCTGCATTTATTGTGATAACCTTAATATTTTCCTATTTCAGTCTGCTACTGTGGCATCTTACATCGATTGATTTTCTTATTAACCAATATTTCATCCTTGAATAACTATCAGGTCATGATGTATTACGTCTTTATTGGTTTTGTTAGCTTATATATTACCTTAAAATTAATTGAGATGTATTCCATATTCTACTTTATGATAGAGTTTATGTAAAACTGGCATTATTTTTATCTTTAAATAGTTCATGAAATTAACGAGGAAGATCATTTAGACTTGGAATTTCCCTAGTGAGAAAAATTATAATTATCAGTTTTCTTTAGTTTCTATTTCTCCATTGATGCCCTTATTTGTACTCAGGTATTTATGATAATGATTTCCCATAATATTTATGATTTCCTTTAAATCATTTAACATGTTGGTGATAGCTATTTTAAAATCCTTGTTCACTAATTCCATTATTGTTATTACTTCTGGGTGTGTTTCTTTTGGTTGATTTTCATTCTGGTATGGGCCTCAGTTTTTCTGCTTCTTGGAATTTTTGATTGAAAGCTATCCTGTTGATTGTCTGCCTTTTGTCTTATTTCTTAATGAAGGTTTATGTTTTGTTTTTTTAGCCTGTTAATTTACTTGAGTATAAGCTTGATACTTTCAAGACTTATTTTTCAGTTTTGTTAGCATGCATCTAGAGTAACATTACTCTCATGCTAAATTAGTTCTACTTCAAAGGCATTTCCTTTCTCAGTCTCTACCGAATGTGTAGGGTGTTCAAAGTGCTTTCCTCGTTAAGGTCTCCCAGCCCTATGCAAGCTTTGATAGTTCAGCCTACAGTGCTCCGGAATTGTCCCCTGCCCCCAGGAATAACTATTTCATTTTTGTTCTTTGCCCAGCTATATAGAGTGTCCCTGTACATGTGCATCTCTGTATTAATTGGCAGACTCAAGGGAATTACTAGGTAGATTTCAGACATTTCTTCCTTTAACAGATCTCTTCCTCTTTGATATTTTGTCCTGCAAATTCTAGCTGATTCTCTCTCCTTAGCTTAGGAAGACCACTAGGCTTAATTTTGATTGCCACTTCCTGTTCCTTACCAGTCTAGAAGGTGATGCCTACAGAAAGCTAGGGTAACCATAGAGCTAACCTTCATTCTCTATCTTCTTTCAGATGCCACAGTAATGTGCTGTCTGTTGTCTAGAATCTGAAAAGTTATTTCATATACTTTTATTTTTAAAAAGCTAGAGAGCTAATTTAGTATCAATTACTTTGCCATTTCTAGGAGTGGAAGTTGATACTGATACTCATAGTTCCTTTTTAACAAAAATAACTATCATTTGTTTTGCCAAAGCTGATTTATACAGTTCCAAAATATCTATAGGGAAGTGACAAGCTCCAATCTAGTGTTTTTCTACTTCGTCTACATAACTGCACAACTACTCAAATTTCATTTGCAACATTTTATTTGAATGTATGACATTGTGCAGACATAGAGCATGCACTTCTGATACAAAGCACATTTATAAGCTCCTGGTAAAAACAAAGCAAACATACTTTTCCCCTTTCTAATATTTTAAGTGAACACTATTTCTTTGTAAATTGTGTTAAATTTGAGAGGATATGATTTTTCTTCTTTCTTCCAGTCTCTAATCAATGTTGAGTTGCTGTCACCTGTAAAGCAACTAAACATGTTCAGATGCAGTTACACACTGTGAACTCAATGAGATGGGTTAGGGATAATAGTATTTCCAAGATGCTTCTTCATGTTCACTTGAGAGCTTGTCACATTTCCATCTCTAACCACGTTGGCTGAATAAGATTTAATTCAAAACATTTTTGCTCTTATTTTTTAAGCAAATTTAAGCTTCTGTTTACTTATGTGTGCTCACTGGAGGTCATGCTGAAAAACGAGGCTCTGAGTATGCTGGGGAGAGCATAAAATATGAAATGGTAATAGTTAGGCTTATAATCTATTATTCTCTTTACATGAAATAGTGCAACCCAGCATGTTCATTGAATTGAAGATTATAAACAACTTGCATAATGCCAAAAGAATGCTCTTTCAACTAAGAACTTATCACCAGAATGCCTGTTATATGTAATGTTTGCTTTAGAATTAAACATAAGAATAAGCACAATATCATATTTAGCTGATTCTTCATCTTAAAAGACATTTAAAATAATAGGTGGCTCATAAGAAGGAAAAAAATACAACATTTTATGTAGTTTCATAAGCGTTTCCTGAATGTTAATATATTCATGGATGTCTGAAAACAACTAGATACCATGAACTATTTATATTATGTTAATTTCTTCCAAAGAATATCTTATTATATGGCTATAAACCATACAATTTGCTTATCTGTTTAGTGTATTATTTTCTCTCTCTCTCTCTGTCTCTCAATTTTTAGGGCGCACTAGCATATAGCCTTTAAAGCTCCTTACTCCTCATATATTTATCTCTGAACTGGTGTTTATCATATCATTTCTGCTTCTCAGTACTACTGCATTACCCTTAGTTCTATTTAGGTTGCCCAGAGTAAAAAGCAATTCACAGATGATTTTATGTAGGAAAAAAAAGAAATGAATGTATATTACTAATTTTTATTTTCAGTAGCACTAGATGTTCTGTGATGGGGGAAAGTAAGATAAATCAGAGGTTTATTGACTTTCAGAGTCCTGGATATAATATTATGGTTAAAAGCATAACTCTTGATGTCATATAGACTTAAATTATTTGTTTACAGCACTTACATAGTATGTGACTATGGACATATTATTTATGTGAAATTTCTCTCGGCTATAAAGCTGAAATGCTGAATGCTAAGCAACATGAGGACAAGGATTTTGGTTAATTTTATATTTTCCACACCCAGATGAGTGCCTGGTGTATAGGTGGCACTCAATCAGTACCTATTGAATGAATAAGTGAGTCTATAGAATGAAAAGAATAAAAAAATTGGTTCATGTGAATGTTAAGAAAATTAAGCAGGATAGCTTTTCTCGATACATTCATTCTGAAGGCCCAGTACTGAGGGCACATTCATAAATGGCAGTTACACATTTGCAATGACTTTTTCCTGTCTGAATGAACAGTGAATATTTCCAGACTTAGTCTGCAGCTACCAATTTCCAAAATCAATGTTGATTTGGTGAGGAAAAAATAAGAATAACACTAAATTTGAACTTTGGACCTATGACTTTAGATTCATCAGGTACAGGTATCTATCAAAAACAATATCAGAATAGGTTACTTAACTCAGAAAGTTGGTGCAAAAACAATTGTGGTTTGTGCCGTTACTTTTGCACCAACCTAATAAAACCATCCCAAAAGTATTGATTGGCAATGCCTTATTGTCATTTGGAATAACATCAGCATTGTGTTTACTACACAGGTAAAAAACTCAATTACACTTAGAACAAAAGACAAAGCATGATGTTTTTTTCTGGAATAAATTCACATCCAGTACTTACCAAAGAGTTGGTAAAATTATTTTATTTTTGATCTATAATAATTGTACATATTTATGGACTACATGTGATTTTTGAAAAATGCATAGAAGAAATAATGATAAATCAGGCTAACTGGAATATCCATTACCTCAAATATTTATCACTTGTGTTTAGAACATTACAAATATTTTCTTCCAGCTATTTTAAAACTTACAATAAACCTACATTCACCCTACATGCTTTTGAACACCAGAATTTATTCTTGTAACTGTATTTTTGTACCTGTTAAATAACTTCTCTTTATTCTACCACCCTCCTACCCTTCCCAGCCTAAAGTCATCACCATTCTACTCCGTACCTCTATGAGATCCACTTTTTAACTCCCATATATAAGTGAGAACATGCAATATTTGTCTTTCCATTCCTGGCTTGTTTCACTTAACATACTGTCCTCGAGTTTTATTCATGTTTCCACAAATGACAAGACGGTATTCTTTTTTATGGCTAAATAATAGTCTATACGTACATTTTCTTTATTCATGTGTTGATGGAGACAAATTGATTCCATATCTTAGCCATTGTGAACAGTGCTACAATAAACAAGAAGGTGGAAATATCTCTTTGATAAGCTAATTTTCTTTCTGTCACACATATACCCAGCAATGAGATGACTGGATTATATGATGGTTCTATTTTTAGTTTTTGGAAGAACCTACATACTTGTTTTCCAAAATGGCTGTACTAATTTATATTTCCAAGAGTGTACCAGAGTACCCATTACTTTGCATCCTTGCTGGCATCTGCTATTTTTAGTCTTTTTGATAATAGCCATTTTACCTGGGGTGAGACAATATCGCATTGTGGTTTTGATTTGCATTTCCCAGATCATTAGAGTTGTTGAGCATTTTTCACAAATCTATTGGCTATTTGTATGCTTTTGATAAATGTCTGTTTAGATCATTTTGCCATCTTTTAATAGAATTGTTTTCTTAACTGTTTTTGAGTTCCTTATATGTTTTGCCTATTCATCTCCTGTTGGACAAAGAGCTTGCAAATATTTTCTTCCATTTTGTAGGCTCTTTACTCTGTTAATGGTTTTCTTTGCTACACAGAAAACTTTTAGATTGATATAATCCCATTTGTATATCTCTTTTTGCTTTTTTGCTCTGTCACATAGGCTCTGTCACATAGGCTTTTTTCATTTTTGTTTTGTCTGACTGGGTTATTTCAAAAGACCTGACTTCAAATTCAGAAATTCTTTTTTCTCGGCTTGACCACATCTATTGTTGAAGCTCTTGAATGTGTTTGTTACTTTACGCATTGAATTATTCATTTTAATGATTTCTGTTTGGGTTTTTTAAATGATAAAATTGATAAAAGAATTACTTTGTTGAAATTCTCATTCAGATTATGAATATTTTTTCCTGATTTACTTGTATTGTTTATCCACGTTCTCTTCTATCTCACTGAGTTTTCTTATCATTTTTAAACTTGTTTTCAGGCATTTCATTTCATGAATTCATTTTCTTTGGATAATTATTGTAGTCCTTTGGAGATATGTTTCCTTGCTATTTCATGCTTCTTTTGTTCTTACATTGATATCTGCACATTTGGTGTAATGGTCATTTCTAATTTTATGGATTAGCTTTCGTAGGGAAAAATAGATGTATATATAATGTCAGTTAAGTGGAGTACTTTTGGCTTTAGTTCTGGGTAGGCATTCTAGTGTAGATTCCATATAACTACCTTTCATCAGTGTCAGCAGTGTGTGTAAGCTTCTTAGTGGCTAAGTGGCGGTGGTTTGTGAAAGCTGTGATGTGGCTTTGATGGGCATAGGGGTACTAAGCAGGCCAGTCCTTAGTCCCTTAGCTGGTAGATGCTGTCATTAATTGCAGCAGAGGCATTCACTGGTTGGGTCAGTCTTTGGGCCCCAGGTGGAGTATGTGGGTGCCAGCAGTGGTGGTGGTAGTCTGGGTGTACCAGTCCTGGGGCCCCAGGGCAGGGTACACAGACACTGGCAGACCAGACATTGCACTCTCTGAGCCCTGGAGTGGGATATGTATGCATCAATAGTGTTAGTGGTGGGATGGAGACACAGGCAGTTTCCCAGGCCCCTAGGCATGTTGCACATGTGTTGGATGTGTCCACAGCTGGGCAGATGGACTGGGCCCAGTGTTCCTAGGCTGGGTGCACAGGTGTGCCAGCTGCTGGAGGGGGTGGGGTTGCTGCTGGTCCTGGTGGCCGTGGACAGCCAGTCTTTAGGTCCTGAAGAGTGCATCCTTTATTTCTCTATATCTTGGGGCACCTCCCTAATGTGTTGGACTGCGGTTCCCTGGGATCTAGCATAGCTACACTGGCTCAGGTGCTAGTGTCATGGCTATACCGCTGGGTCTAGTTGGCATGTGATGCTGTAGCCCTCTGGATGGATGTGGGTGGATATTGGTAGGGCCCCAGGGATGTGGAGATGTAAGGGCTATTGAGCCCCAAGGGAGGATGTAGTATGGTGTTGGATCAGCTCTCAAAAGGGTGTTGAGATACACCATCTTGCATCTCATTGGTGGGACTGAGCATAGATTCCCTCTAAAACAATGCAGTTGTGTGGACTCTGAGAAGCTTCCTATATTACACTCAGTGCCAGTGAGGGTCGAGGGACTTTCCTGTAGCTAAGACTATAGACATCTGTGGTGGGAATGTGGACTGCTAGGCATCTCTTGTTCATCTTTCCCCACAATGGGGCGTCCCTCCTGGCTCAGAGCTGATCTGGCCAGCTGTTCTGCTTTGCTCTCTATGCTGTCATCTTGGGCTTCTGTGCCTCAAAGGTTCCTTGTGGCTTCTCTGCTAGATTAGCGTTATCCCCTAGACTCCGTTCAACATGTGGTTATCTGCTTGGTGTTACAGTCTTTCTCTGTGGAGGAGGCCAGTACTGGGTGTCTCTAGTCAGCCATCTTGATTATGTCTACCTTGGTGAAATTCCTGAGTGTATATGGGTCAGGAAATGACTGTCCTGGAGCAGAAGAATTCAGAACATCTTCTCTTTCATTTCCCTTTTTCCCTAATCCTCTTTCCTAAGTCTTAAACCAGGCAGCTCCAAGGGAAAGGAAATAGAAAAATTTAACAGAGGAATGTTTCATATATTTCTCACACTGGCTTCCCCAAAACAATACTATAATTGCTTGTTCGAAGTTCTCTTCTTTTTCAAAGAAGAATTCTTTATTTCTGGGTCAGGATAAAGTCAATCTATATACCAAAATAATGGAGAACCAGAGAAAACTGAGATCTGGACATTGAGAAAAAGTTTGGGAGAATAAAGATGAGAATCTGAAACTTCTAGAGTAAAAGAGAAGTGGGTGATAGGAAAAAAATGAAATTTTAATGTGCTTTCCTGTACATATGTTCATTTAACTTTCAGAGATTTTACAAATGCAGGTATTAAGGATATTAATAGTTTTTATATATATATATATATATTTGACAAGGCCTCAAAATTTGACCCTTTATTCCCTAAGATTTATAAAGAAATACTTTTCTTAAAAGTCAGAATCTTTGGTATTAATGGTAAAGGTTTTTCAGTGACTGTCTTCTACGACTTATTGTTCGGTATTTAATTATTGAGTCTGCCTGGGCTCTGAAATCTCAGGAAGTACATTGCCTGAAACCAAAGGTGTTTCCTTTTTTCTGATTTAAGTGTTGCATTTTCTTTTCTCGCTCTAGCTTCTGCTTAGGGATGGTTTCTTTGTCTTACTCTATTATATTTCTCTAATCTGCCCTTTTTGCCTAGGTGTGGAGAGATGGCTGTCATAAAAGCCTATCTTTTTAACAGAATAAGTTCCTAGGAGAGCTTAATTTTTAAAAGATTTCTCAACGTGCAAAATTTTTAAGCTCTATGGCTGTTCATTTGCCATGTTAAGCAACGTCCTTTCTATTGGAACAATTTGGTTATATTTTATCTTGTTTTGTTTCTTTTTTTTTTTTTTTTTGAGATGGAGTCTCACTCTGTCACCCAGGCTGGAGTGCAGTGGCGCCATATCAGCTCACTGCAACCTCTGCCCCATCCCCCGGTTCAAGCGATTCTCCTGCCTCAGCTGGGATTACAGGCGCATGCCACCAAGCACGGCTACATTTTGTATTTTTTTCTAGTAGAGATGGGGTTTCACCATTTTGACCAGGCTGGTCTTGAACTCCTGACCTCTTGATCCACCCGCCTTGGCCTCCCAAAGTGCTGGGATTACAGGTGTGAGCCACCTGTCCAGCCTCATTTTTCTTTTCATTAGTGCTTCTCACTTTAGTGGGCATGAGAATTACCTAAAACATTTGTTATAACCGAGATGACTGGACCTCACCTTTAGAATTTCTGATTCAGTAAATGTGGGGTAACACCCCAAAATTAGCATTTCTATCAAGATCCCAGGAGACGCTAATGCCACTGAGTGGACATGATCGTGTATGTTAAATAAGCCTGAGGCTGAAGTCATTACTTAAGTAATGACTCAATATCCAGGCTTTCCAAGAAAATCCTGAAAATTTGGGCAGTTATGTTCAGTGGGAAGAAATGAGCATCTCAGTGATAGAAAACTAAATTAACCTTTATTCTTCCGGAAGTATAACTCTCCGTACTATATGCAAGCAATGGCTCAGGCAGTCCTCTTCAACAATCATCTCTGAAGAAGAAAGGGCCCTTTAGGAGTTAACTCCATGCCTCAGAGCAAAAAAGTAAAGATGGCACTAAGATGTCAAGCTTAATATTCAGACTAATATGGATCTATTAATCATTCTTTTTTTTAACCCCTGTTTGAATCTAACTATTGTTATCAGCCTCTTATCTATCTCTGGAAGTAAAAAATTTCATCTATTCATTGTTCATTCATATGAAGTATTATACTCTTTTACTTGTTCTAAAGTGTGTTGCAAGAGGCAGAAGTCTCATTTAACCCCACCAGAAGCACATTTTCATAGAAATCGTTTTCTATTTATGTCTTCTATTAGCTAAGGGGACTCATGGCAGACTGGAAGTACTGCTATGTATGAATGTATATTTCATTACATTCATAGAAGGTCATAAACCTGAGTAGTTTGCATCTTTTTATAATCGTAATCTATCACAATACCCTCTCCATTCCCTGTTATTCACCAAATAAGTAGCAGTAATATCGCATTAAACTGAAGGTGGCACAATTTTGTAGCTCACATTTGTATCTGTATAAACCAGCCTGCAAATATTTTCCTCAAATGAGCCTTTTCTCTGACTCTGAAATGGAGAGTAAGTTAAAACGGTTGTGGGTGGAGGTTAGAATAAAGCAACCCCAATACAGAGGAAGCACTTTTGTTGTGATTTGAAACAACAAATTCTGTTATTATGTAGAATCTCAGTAATGATCAGTCCTTAAATATTTCTCATATTTCATATTTCACTCAATTACATTTCTGGGGGAATCACTGAATCATATTAGCACACGAGCAGCATGTGAGAATGACACAGTATCCCAGTTTTACTTTGCATCTCAAAATGCTTGACCAAGATCATGTTCTGAAGTTCTAAAAATCACGTAAGGGATAATAAAGGATAATGAGAGCAGCTTAAGGCTGAGGAGCATTAAACATAGCTGTATATAATCCTCAAGGCTGTGGGATACAAACAATCTAAAATATGGTGGGAGGTGGATGACTGATATCCTTTGAGGTGTAGTCAGGAATCGCACCTGTGAAGGGCAGGGAAGCAAGACTGGCAAAGGGCAAGCTGTGCTGCCTTGTAGTTGTAACACACACCTTATAGGATCCCAGGAGGAGCTCAGGAGCTGAGATAGTTCTTCAGAGTCATCTTTGAGAACAAGACTTTTACAACCCTCCTTTGATAGTCATTGGATGCAGGCTGCCCCCGGGGAAGAAGTGTGATATTAACAAGACAGCTTCCTTCAGAGGAAGACAATTCCTGATTCTCAGACGGGTGCTTAGCAGGAGCCAGAACTCCTAGCAAGCAGGAGAATGGTGTTCCAGTGCTGAGGTGAGGGATATGGGTGGACCAGCACACCGTGTCCACTTTAGGGCAGGGATTAGCAAATGGTGTCCTACAGCCTGTTTTTGTACCTGTAAGCTAAAAATAGTTTTGAAAATAAATCAAAATAGTAACATATTTACCTAGGACTTTACATCATCTCATGCACTATTCTAAATATGTGCATGTATCCACATACTTTATCTTTAAACAGTCCTGGACAGTATTATTACTGATTTCATAGATGACAACACCAAAGCTTCCAGATAAGTTAGCTAAGAAATCAAAGACCACACAGCCAATGGTTTTGAATTCCAGCTGAAATTCAAGCCCAGGGTCTAACCAGATGTAGCCTGGTTGTCAAACAAAGTTCTCCAGCACTGTGAGAGTAATATAGGAGCGCCAAATGAGTGATGCACTTGAGACTTCCTGCTGAGTTCCCAGAAGGGAAGATCCCTGTGTTTCAGAGAAGCAAGAAAAGGCTTTGTGGGAGAATGAGGCCACATTTCTACCATGATGATAAGTAACATTAACTGAACTACAAGGAATCCCAGTGTTATTCTTCTTATTAGTAGACTCTTTCGATTACAGAAACTTATACTCAATGATCATCTTTTAAATGTCATCAATAAAATATTTGTGAAAATTTGCTCTCTTGATTCATAATTAACCACATATCAGTCTTGATTTTCCCTCTTGGCCTACAAATACAAAATTATTTACTCTCTGAACCTTTACAGAAAATCTTGTCAATCCCTGCTCTAGGGGATTCAGTGGGAAACTGAGTTTTTAATCATCCTAGGTTACCCTCCTATAATAAAAAATCCTACAACCATCAGTGTCTCATGCCCCAATTTGATAGAATGCTTGAAGCTCCGGTGAAAGCAGCAGCAACATCATACTAAAGGAGAAATAGCCTTCTACATCAACCAGAGAGGCTTTGCTGTCATTTCCTACCCTGTGCAAACAAGAACTTGAGATTTGTCCTCTTTCTTATTGTTAAGAGTATCGTTGGACCTAGGGATTCATGAAGCATGCAGCCGCATTAGAAACTTTTGTGAAACCCCATCATAAGCATAACATTCTCCAAAGGCAACAATATTTGGTGAAATAAGTAAGATATAAAGTTGTATGTGCAGTGTGATATCAAGTATACAATCACAAGTCTTTGCTTTTCTATGTTTTCATATTTTTCTTTAATTTCAAAATTTATTTTAATCCAGATTCACATTAAGGTACAGTTGCTTATGCCACTAACTCAGAATGTTATAATCACTACGCTGGAATCTCTCAGGTAGACTAGGAATCTGATTTTCTTTCCCACCTCCATGCCTGTGCAAAAGGCACACTGCACTTTAGTGGATGCCCAGTGAATGCTAACTGGGACACCATAAAACCTCCACTGGCTTTTCTGAGATGTGGTCTTTGAAACCGTATTCAAATTGATTCAATGAAAGACCCTTTCATGAATTAAATTCTGTAAGCATTATCAAACTCTCCTGTCATTATGAGGGTGTCATAATTCCCTAATAAAGCATTGACTCATCTGTCCAACACTATGGAATATCACAAGAGTTATTATAAGACACTTTAAAAAATTAATATGTGAGTGTACGTGTGTGTGAGAGAGAAGAGAGAGAGAGAGATGCAGAGAGAAACCTGTTCATCTGTTCATGCTTGGCCCTGCAAAGTATTGTAAACTTGGCCCAAATTGTTGACACCAGGCATTCAGACATTTAGAATTTTTAACTATTCTCCTTTCCTGTATACCACAGTACAGTAAAGGATCTTCTCCTCTGAGATATCTAAAAGATGTTTTTTTTGTTGGAAAATGAAAGCTCTATTTTATTTGTCACAGTTTAAGAAAAGGAGTATTAGATTCCCTCTGCAATACATGCCAAGCCTACTAAACAACTGATGAAAATATTCACATCTTGGTATTGATTGTCGTTATTATTATTATTGTTATTATTATTGCTATAATGCTATTGGTAGAATGTAAAGAAAAATTGGAAATGCAGAGTAAGATAAGCCTTTACTTTCACATTGTGATAACATGCTCTGCTATAAGCAAGAGACTGGTATTGACGGTGAGCAATAAACAACCATTACTAAAGAAATCATAAACTAAAGAAACTCTTTAGTTTCTTACTTGAACCTAGTTTGGGCATAATTGTAGTAATTTGTCCATAATCTTCATCTCAGTAAGTAAGCTGTGTTACAATAAATCAAGTAAAAGAGATTTAATGGATTGCCATTTGTGCTCTAAGTGTTCATATTTGTTTACCTGCTAAGATTAAGATTTTAATGTATTTGATATATTAAAGACATGGTGATTTTCAAATTGCTCTCTCGCAAATATGCAGAAGATATTAAAACTCATACTGAAGTAAATAACCACCGGTGAGCTTGCTGTGACAGCCATAACACATTGGCACCTTTTTCTCAAGCACTTGGTGTTCTTTTATAATCTTGCCTCTGCTTCTACTTTTTATTTTACATTTTTGTTGAGAGAAAGGGATATCTTTTTCTAAAATCTTTTTAGTCAGTCATCACTCATATCAAGATGCAGCAAAACATTACCTGTTTGGTGAGATTTCTTCTGCTTCTCCAAACAGACCTCTTTGTTCCCATAATATCTTATACATGCCTCCATTAAAAAACAAAACTGTCCATGTTATTATGCCATGATTGAAAATATAATTGTATGCATACACGTGAATTTATATGTAATCCAATTACTCATTATAAAAAGTATTGTATATGTGCCGTATAGATACAGATAATACATCAGCACAAAAAAAGTAACACAGATGAGGAATGGGAAGACGGCTCAACAAGCGTTAAGTGTATCTGATGTGGTTGAGGTTAAATGACTGTAGATTGAATATATCAAAATACTTCACACAACTAGTGTTAGTTAAAGAGTGAGGGGAGCGAGGATGAATTTGTGATACTTGTTATAAAACTTCGCAGAGGCCTTTCAATGAGAATAAAGTAATTCCTCAGAAAATTAGAGGTTTTTATTTTACCTGGAAGTCATGTTTCCACTATGTAGTCATAAAAAAGCAGGTAGAATATGTAAAGGACAGGGTCAAACACTACTCCTGCATTCCAATAATCGATGTGACCAAGGCACCATCCACAGTGCAGTCCAAAAGTACAGCTTACACTTAGCCTGAGTAGTTGGAGGTAAGAAGAGAAAAAAATGAATCCTAAGAATGGCATAGGAAGGAAGTGAAGATGAGAAGAGGGAAATGAATATAAAACTGGAAGGGTACTATATGTTCCAGGTATTGTGATGGCCACTTTTTATTAAATTAACTTATTGTGTATCCATACAAACTCTGAAAGGTGACTTACTTTAATTTTTAAATTGAGAAAATGAGAGCCTAAAAAATTCAAAAAATTTGTTTAAAGTAATACAGTAAGTATCAGAGCTACAGTAGAACTCAGCAATGTAGAGACTGACAATTTAATTATTTTAATCAGAGTCAGCTATTTTCAGAAAACATCAGAAGCCAGACTTCATTAGTTTCTTGAGTTTTAAAGATAGAAAAATTTAGATTATGGTACAACAATAGTGCTTTACTTAGAATCCAAACACAGGTAAACTGTCTCTGAATTATAACTTGAAGTTTGGTGTCTACATGATTTCATCAACTTAACATCAAATTTGTATAGACTATAGGCAAGGATTCAGTTAATAAAGTAAATATACATTACAGAGAAAGATTAGAAATAGTATATTTCCTAATTTAGTTTTGAGTGCTTTATTAATATAAATATTGCTAAATCCACTCATTTCATTAAATAAAATGGCTCTTTATTATTAATATAATTTTTCTATTTAGAGCAAAAATATTCCAAACAGCTGTAGTTTCTTCATCTTTAAATAGGATTGATGATGCTATTTATCTATCCTTTGTTAGATATCAATGTAACAAAAATTCCACGTGTTCTAATAAAAAACCAGTGTATTAATGCTGTGCCATTGCTATCTCCAAACAATTAGATTGTCAATTTTCCTGTGCACTCTCTATATTTACTGAATTACATGTTAAATAAGTTGTTGTCAAGCAATGATTTTAAGCAATAGCACAGGGGCCTCCCCCTGCTAAGACGTGACACCTGGCATGATGTAGTAATTGGGAAAAGAGTTGAACTTAATGATCAATGACTTCTTTGAGCAAAATGAAAAATCCATGAGCATAAAAGCACTATGGAGTTCTGGACAAAATTATCAAGAAAACTAAAGCCAATATTGAAATGTTGCAAGGATGTGCTGCCAGATCTAACACCTTCCTCTGTAAGACACACATACACCCATAGACACACACATCCACACTCAGTGTGTCATTCTCTTAGGTCATGAAGTTTAAAGCAAACTTGCATGTGAATTCGTAATATACAAAGAGCTGAAACTGGGCCTCTATTGTTTCTGCATTTAAATTCAATTTTTACAGAGTTAGAACAATGAGAATCATGATTTTGAAACTCCGAATTATCCAATCTATTCACCATACAAAATTTTGTATGTCTCCAAGTCAGGAGGCAAATTCTCGAAATTGAGAGTGAATTATTAAAGACACATGCAGATCTAAATATAGCCATCTTGGCATAACAAGAAGATACATCTGCTTTTGGAAATATATTTTATAAGAAGAAGTATTTAGAACAATTTCTTCAAACATTCCTCAGTCCCACAAACCAAATATTTAAACTCTACTTAAAAATATTAAGCTTCAATATTGGTCTTATGGTGCTCTGCAAATTATTATTGTCCTGAACAAATGAAAATTTTTCTCTGATGTGGAATTAAGTATATTTTAAAAAGAATAAAAAAAAACAGACTTGATTAAAAAAGCAATGAACGTAACAAATATTTAATGCAAAAATCTTTATTTTCCTGTCTAAGGTAAATTGCTGCATTACCTAGACAGTTGTGGATGATACATCTGTAACTTACAGAATAAGCATGTTTATAGCATAAAAAAAGAGCTAATGTGAGTTGTAATGAAATTTAACAGATGAAAGCTTCCATTAAATTTTGTTTATAAAGTGTTGTCCTAGATCTGATAGTAAACTCTTATAGAAACCATTTTTAGAACAGCAGAAATACGACAAGAGACAAGTGCAGTAGAGTGTGCCTAATTCATTCCAATTCACAGAGTAATGCATTTCAATTCACACAGTGATGCATTCCAGTCTCCAACATGAGAACCCAATCTAGTTGATGCTTAGTAGAGTTGAAACAAAGTCACAGCACCAGAAAACTGACAATGTCTATTTTGCTAAATAGAGAAATACTTTAAATATTTTTTTTCAGTTTTTTCTGAGCTTGGCTATGCCTTATTTACCAAACTATACATTATGACAATAGACCTATGCCACTCACAATATAAAATAATAGTCTTTGATGTTTGAAGTCTTCACCTATTTTCAGAGTAATTAAAGCTGGCTAAGAGGCAGCTTCCGAAGCTCATTTGATTTTTTTAAAACAGGGTTGAAAGCCTAGATATTGTCAAATGTTCTAACTTCTTAAAACCAGTTGAGTGTTTACCATGAGCAACTGGATTACTGGTATTGGAAGCCTCTTCTGGAAATATACTATGACATACAATTTCAATTTTTAAACGTCATCATAAATCTTAATGATGTTAAGTATTAAATCTTCAGATTCACTGTGTTAAGTATTAAGTCTTCAGATTCACTGTTTATTTTCTATATTTTCTTGATACATATTAATTTTGCATTAATTTTCAGATTATTACCAGGAATTATTTCCCACAAAAATTCCTATTTTTCAGGTTAAAAATCTAAATAGATAAAGGACATTAATAAATTGGCTGATAACTTACTGGGAGTTAAAAAAATCTGAATTTACATGATTCTGGTACAGGCAAATTAGCTCATATATTTCCTTGAGAGAGGAAAATAGAAGAAAAAAATACAAGAAACTACACTAAGGAAAGCTTCATAAAATCTGCTGAAGGGGCAAGATGGGGTCTGGCATCAGTCTTGATGTTCATCTTTGCACTGAAGGAGACAAAACTAGGTCAAAGGAAAGGGAGATAAAGATTTCAAGATTTAAATATTTCTACCATTTTTCCTTGAAAGCTAATTTATTTTGCCTGGAGGCTGGAGGCGACATGTGAACCTCTGATTCATTTCGTCCTTTGTCACATGAAAAGTCACGATGAAAAGAACAGCAAAGACCCTTAGGTATATAGCTATACAATACCACTCAGAACATTTCACTCAAAAAACAACATTGACTTAGCCATCAACCCATCACAGGCATCACCTCCATTTTACAGATTGGGTCATTTCAAATGAAAATGGTTAACTGACCTTTCACCCAAGAAATTTCAGCTGAGCTGGGGATTAGTTTAAATTGAAGCACGTGGATCACCTGAGGTTGGGAATTCGAGACCAGCCTGAGCAACATAGAGAAACCCGTCTCTACTAAAAGTACAAAAAATTAGCCGGGCATGGTGGTACATGCCTGTAACCTCAGCTACTCGGGAGGCTGAGGTAGGAGAATCTCTTGAACCCGGGAGGCAGAGGTTGCAGTTAGCTGAGATCATGCCATTGCACTCCAGCCTGGGCAAGAAGAGTGAAACTCTGTCTCAAACAAACAACAAACAAACAAACAAAACAAAACAAAAAGAAATTGAAGCATGGTGAATGTGCCTCACAAATGGCTTTCTAATTTGAAGGCTATATTTTCTCTGGTTTATAAACTAGGCATTAAAATAGTAGAAACTCTTCAGAAATTTAATTAGAGTAACATATCTTGCTCATTAAATTACATGCATTCAAGATACAATGTCATTTTCAGCCAATCTTCCCAACATACAATCTTCTAGGTAATTATAGCATATTTGATAATTAAAATGCCAATTTGATGTTAAACTCTTGTATTATGTCAACAGTAGACTAAACTAAGTGGTACAACTTCTACTTTAATGAAGAGAAAGGTTATTTTATGTTCATTCAGCAAACATGTATTGAGTAGTTACAATACATCATGCAACATGCAAAATACCGGGAGTAGACACATGAGTAAGATAAAAGCTCTGACCTCACAGTCTTCCAGAAGAGATGGACAACTAAAGCAACACTGATAGAACAATGTGTCAAGGACAATAATAGAAATACACTCAAGGAGGAATAGGTGTATAACGTAATGAACCTAACTCAGCGAAAAAAAAAAAAGAGCTTGAGCTGTCATATGATTGTGACTTAGACAATATGAGCAACTATTCACTCATGCATTCAACTATGATGTAATAGCCACCTACAGAGTTTAGAAATTGATATATTTGCAGATATATGATAGTGAGAAAAAAACACATTACTTTCCCTCATGAAGCTCATACAATAGTGAAGAAGATAAGAAATATGAAAATAAGTGTATAAGATGAGGAATTAAGATCAAATATCCTTTGATCTTGACAAAAGAGATAAAGCCCAACAAACAAGCTATTTTAGATAGAGATCAGGGAAGACTACTCTGAAAAACTGATATTTAAGCACATATCAAAAGGAGTAGACAAATTAGTGATGCCAATGTGTGTGAGAAGAGAGTATTAGCCAGAAATAGCAACAAGTGCAAAAAACCCTGTGATATAAATGAGCTTGGCATATTTTGGAGAGCACTATGACATGACTCTTGACATGATGATTGGTATACATCAATAGGAGTGAGGTATAAATGCTCAGCAAACCTTTACAGGATTTTTGAGCAGCAGAATAACATGATCTTGTTTTGGATAAGCACAGCTTCCTGTGGACTTGTCTCAATCCACACAAATATACCACAACAAAATTTATTGTTTAGCAGTCTACAGGGTTTAGTAATTGTTGCCCAGGCTGTAGACACATGGTAGCCATGTCTTAAATCCTCTATGAAAAGTGAGTAGGGTGACTTCAGTATGAATATTAATTATGCCCATGCTTCCAATCTGTGGAATGAAACCTTTAGGGGGAACTTAAGAGTTGTTTTTAAAATCCTAGAAATAAAAATGTGAACTATTATTTTTCTGTAGCCAGAATAATCTAGCAATGAGGAACAACATGGGCTTACAGTTGGGTGGATTCAGATTTTCTTCCAGGCTTTCTCAGGTAAAAGTTGAGGCACATTAGTCAAGTGTCTTTTGTAACTTTTAGTTTTCTCTTATCTCAAATGAGGATAATGAAGGTTTGAGAGGATTAATTCACACCAGCAGTATAAAATTTAGTACATGGTATAGTCTAGCATATAGTAAATGTGCACTTTATGATGATTGTTACTATGTATAAAATGAATGCATTCTTCCCATAGATCTCTCCAACTATTCAAACATATGTCATGATGCAGGTCCTCTTATCCAACAAATATTTAATGTAAATACACTCTGTACCTATCACAGTACAAAGCAGAGTGGGAAATAAGACATAGTTCTAGTCCCAGGGAGCTCAGAGATAAATTAGATTATAATAACTACTTTGGTAAAAATAAGCATAGTGTGATATAGAACATAAATAAGAGGGTAATTAAGCCTTTTGAGAAAAAAATTCCTGGAGAAATTCCTGTAGTATGACCAGAATATGGTCTGGTTAAGGGTGGAGAGGAAGGAGAAGAAGAAAAGACTTGCAGCAGGCAGGGAAACAGCAATGACAAAAAAAAAAAAAAAAAAAAAAAAAAAAAAACTACTGAAAATATATTATGTACTGAGAAGCTGAATATAATTTAGTTGACCCAATAAACATATAAATGGAAGAACTGTGATTAAAAATGCAAATCCTTTTGTGATATGTAGTATATAAAGGTGGCCACTGTCAATTTCTTCTATCTCTGAATGTGTATGGCACTCTACCATTAAAAGGTGAAATTGATTTCCCCCTTCTTGAATCTCTGCGTACCCTCAGACTTTCCTTGAGGAATAGAGCATGGTAAAAGTGGCACAGTGCCGATTAAGCATAAGCACATCTGGCAGCTTCCACTTTCACCCTGGGGAAGTCAACTGACATATAAACCCAACTATTGACACCACTATACTGTGATAAAAACCTGTGGAAAGGTCATGAGGAATATTACACATAGAGGGGTCTTCTCATACTTTGTAGCCCAGTCAGGCTGCTGACAAATGAGAGACCACCTAAGATACCACATGGAACAGGACAACCATCCCACTGAGCCCTGCCCAATTCCCTGAACCACAGAATCATGAAAAGAAATAAATCATCATTAAATTTTAGGAAAGCTTTTGGGTGGTTTGTTCCATAGCTGTATGTAAGTAAAATGGAAATGGCTGTCTACAAGTGAAGTGCTGTTAGGACAACATGCAAAACATACTAAACTAACTTTGAAACTGAGAAGTAGGTGTGAGGAGATCGTTAGTGGAGGCTAGAAGTGCAGTGTGCTATTGGAGGATTCAGGGTAAAAAACACCTGTGTTATGTACAGTGAAGACTTTGATGACACCACTGCTTGAAATAATGTGTAATATAGAAAATTATGGATATAGATAATTGAATGAGTCATTTGGCTTCTTTTAGCAGCCAGTAATAAGGTTTTGAAAGAGAAAGATGAACTAAGAGGGTAAATGTTCAGTTTTCAAGTAAATTTAGACAAATTATTTCCAACTCAGAACTTGCTAGGTTAGAAAATAAAACTCTTTTATTCTGAAGCTTTCCAGAGAGCAGAAGTTTCTAAAAGGTAGAGCCAGTCTTCAGGTAAAGATCAAATAAAGGTTGTGGTTGTAAGATGCTTTGTTAAGATCTCTGAAAAAAATTTAAACTGATGTCATAGACTCCCTCAATTAGACAAATAAACAAAAGATGTCAAGAATCTTAAAGGAATTATGTCACAGCACCCTGATTTACAGCCCAAAGGAGAGAAGCACTTGTCACAAACATATATGTATATATGGTTTTTGCCTAATGGTGTGAACCTCAGGAAGATTGATAGGAGATCCATATTTTCAAGAGAAGTGTATTGTTAAAAGCACCAACAACTTAGACTAAAAGAGAAAGAGGCAATTCAAAATAAAGAGAACACTAGGACCTCAGGATCCCATCCATTCAAAAGTAGGAATCAGGCTAAAAAAAGATATTCAGCTGCAAACACAATTCATTATTTATTTTAATAAAAGATGGAAGGCTCAGAGGGCAAACCAATAGCCTACTGCTATAGAACCATTCCCAGGGAGAAAACTGCTGCACCCTAATCAAGGAACTTTCCCAGGCCTCAGAGCAAAGTGAACAGACACATGTGTGCAGCTGATTTCTTGACTGCTATGGATCAGCAACTGCTATGTGATCACGTTATCTGTTTGAACAGGAGTTTCTATCATGGTTATCTTTTCCCTCTCCCACCATTATACGTTGGGTATATAAGAGGGCAGATAACTTATCTTTTAATGCATAAGCCTCTGTGCCCAAGGTTCTGCACCAGAGGAGCTACACCTCAGGAATTGCAACAAGAAGCCTCATCCATGTGTGGACTTTAGACAACTTTAAGATTATGACTTAATAGGGTGAGAATTTTGAAAGTGGCAGTGAAGGTATTTTGCATGTAGGAGAGATATAAATTATTGTGGCCAGATACATTTAAATATGTACACTATCAATATTGTTCTTGTTTATATGTGATATGCTCTGACCATCAAGAGATGGAGACTATATTTTTATTCCTTGAAACAGTGTGCAATAGAATGCAGAAGCAGACCTCTTTAAATTTAAGTCCCAATCTTAGACTTTAAGAAGCCCAGCAGCTTGCACTATTTTTTTTTTTTGAGATGGAGTCTCTCTCTCTCACTAGGCTGTAGTGCAGTGGTGTGATCTCGGCTCACTACAACCTCCGCTTCCTGGGTTCAAGCGATTGTCCTGCCTCAGCCTCACAAGTAGCTGGGACTACAGGCCCTTGCCACCATGCCTGGCTTTTTTTTTTTTTTTTTTTTTGTATTTTTAGTAGAGACAGGGTTTCACCGTGTTAGCCAGGATGGTCTCAATCTCCTGACCTCGTGATCCGCCCGCCTCAGCCTCCCAAAGTTCTGGGATTACAGGTGTGAGCCACCGCGCACGGCCAGCTTCCACTTTTGTTCTGCAGATGCAATAACCCTGAGTTTAAAACTCTGTGAAAAATTCCAAGTTAGCCAAGTGAGAAAGTCACTAAAGAGAGAAGAGAGAAATCTTGACATGCAGTTGAGACCTTTGTGGCTCTCCCAGCCTAGCTCAGCTGCTAGCTAAAACCAGTTGAGTGAGTGACCCCACCAAGAGCTTGTGAAGCAGAACTGCCCATCATAGCCACAACCAAGTTCTGACCTAGAAAATTGTTACGCGTAATAAAATTGTGTTGTTTTAAAGTACTATGTTTCAAGGAATTGTTATTTAGCCACAGATAACTAAAATTAATTTTACAGATGTGAAGATTACTCAGAGTAGCTTTGTGTTTTTATGGATTTTTCTCTCCTAAAGGATATAACCAAAATTACAAAAAGCTTTCATTTTAAAAAAGGCACCCTTTATACTGGTCTAAAATTGGAAATGGCCTAAATGTTAACAGAAGAATGGATAAAGAAATTGTGGTATATCTGTACAATGATACTACATGCAATGTAACAACTGGTGCTACACTGAGCAACATGAATGAATCTCACAGACATAGCCATGAGTGAAGGAAGCTGGATATAGAGCACTATATTTTGATCATTTTATTCAATCATGTTAGAAGGTAGAATAGTGATTTCCCCTAGAATGTAGAGTATTTACCAGGAAGAGTCATTAGGGAAACTTTCAGGATGTGGAAATATTTTATTTCTTCCTCTGAATTGTAGAATTAATGTTTGTGAATTATCCAGTATGTTAAAACTGATTTAGAAAAAATTGTTTTAAACATCAAAACACTGACAAACAAAAACACACAAAAGCATTCCTACACTTGAAAATTACTACAAAGCAACTTGAGATCACAGAGTTTAGGTGGTTTGCCCAAACTCTATACTGCTAGAAGGTAATGAAAGTGGTTCTAGTGCCTTTTCTCTCATTCTCAAATATTTGTTAAAAGTCCAGTAGGGCCTATAATATGCAAATTTTCTTTTGGTTATTTTGCTGTATTTTCTTGAAAGAGAGACCTTAGATCAGATTTTGAAGTCCCTAAAATTTAGGGGTCTCCAACAAATACGGAGGAAACATGTGGGCATTAGTAAGTTACAGAAGCTTTAGAGAAGGCAACTCCAGAATGCCGTAAGAATCCATTAGCGAGCTCAGAAAGTACATTTTGTCGGAACTAGTTCTTGTATGGACCACACCTTTTAGAGAAGCTGTGTTTCTATTGCACGGGACAATACCATTGGCAAAAGCCAGAAAATCACCTTGAATATTACCATGTTAGCAGACCTTTTTTATGACCTGACATTTTAGCGGGACCATCTAAATGTTGTGCATATTAGAGAGAGCATATCCATGATCTGAAGTGATTTTAGTTCACAAGAGGTTCCATTTGTTTTTATTGAAGTGAATGGATCTGTGAATACAGATCCATTAACCCCAGAATTTTTAAATGTTAAATCAGCAGCTTTAAATAAATGTTAACATGAGACACCAATTACTGATACTGTAATACCAAATAGAGGGCGAGATTTGGAGCATTGCCTAGGAAGAATATGTTAAAAATTCTGAACTTCTTTATTAGCAAGATAAAAATGATGTAAAGATATTAATATTTTGTTGGGTCAAAGCCAATAAAAGTAAATTATTTCCCCTTTAAAAAATACATTTAGCAAATAGCTGCATAGTCTCTATAAGATTTCATGTTTCTAAACTTTCAAAGGATTATGGTTATTGTTATTAATATTACCATTACTACCCTTGCAATGCCATTGCTACATTAAGGAATTGATTTACTCAGATCTTATGGCTGTAATTACCACAGGCACTCATGAAACAGTGCATTGTAAGGATATATGTAGCTCCTTGCTAGGATAGTGATTCTGCACAGTGCTGCATGGAGGCTGGCACTGAGATATATTTTGCTCTATTTTAAATTATTTTGTATAAATATTAGCGAAACTAATATTTAACCTTTGCTTTTTGTGATCAAAATTTCATTACAGTTAAGGGAATTTAATTCAATTAAATATGCACTTGCTGGATACTTCTTATGAACTTAGCCCTATTCTCAAGTAACACTGCTGGTCTCTGGGGGAATTCCCAGCATTTGGAACCAAGCCGTCCTGGTTCACATTCCAGCTCTGTGTAATTGCTGAAAGGTTGTTTAATATCTTGATGCCCCAATTTCTTCATTCATTAAATTGGCATAATACTATTTATTGCATGGAGTTTTACTGAGATAGTGAAAATATAACTGTTAAGACTATATGTACCACATAAGTAATGCTTCATAAGTGATAGGTATTATTTAAGCAACATGCTTTATTTAGAAAATAGCATAAAATTTGAGTACCAGACAAGAATGAAAAATGATAGGAAACAACTTTATAATATTTATGTCTAGGGTATTAGGATAGTCAATGCCCTCTCTTCTACAACAATACTTTCTTTGTCAAGACATTTTAATTTTCCCGATATCATTGTATGCTAAGACCGTTTCATTGTGTAAAAGAGAATGTACCATATAGTTTTAGAATGATGGTGACTCAGTGGTTCTAGGACTGCATAAATCCTAGTTATCACGTAATCTTTATGGTCTAATATATGCTCTATTTTGTGAATGGTGCATGTGTGTTCAAAAAGAACATATTCTTTGTATTTTGAGTACAGATGTCTTTCGGTCCCTGCACACACACACATATATTTCAAATCTTAAATATCTACTTATGTATCCACTCTTACACAAATATATAATAAAATATTTAAATTGTATTATTGTTCAGATATCTAATATATCTATTTTGTTTTATCTATTAGTTTTGTAACATGTTAAAATCTTGAACTACAATTATAGGTTTATGTATATTTCTCTTCAGTTCTGACAGTTGAAGATCTACATATTTTGAGGCAATATTGCTGGACGCATACAAGTTCATACTGATGATAGCGTATAATTCTTTTAGCCTTTTAACCAGAATATATCCTTCGTTGGCCATTTGAATTACTTTTCTTAAATCATATTCTGTCATGTGAGAGTGTTACTGTTTTCCATGGCTATATACTTAGCATATCTTTGTCCACTTTTTCTGTATCCTTTTGTTTTAAATATGTCTCTGCATATATGTTGTTAGGAGATGTACATATATATATATATAATCTGAGAGACCAAATATTTTATTTGTGGAGATTAATCTATTTGTATGTACAGTATGTCTGCTTATTTCAAACTAATCTCTTTGTCCTAAACTATTGCTTTCTGGAAAAGTTCCTCAATTTGATCCTTCGAGATACTAATTCATTTCTTAGTTGTGTCCCTTCAGCTAGATAGGTCAAGAATTGTATTTTTCATTATAATTATTATATTTCTCAGATTCCTTTTATAGTGCATTTTTCTTGTTTCATATTATCTATCTTTATCCTTTTTATATATTCTCAGTCATCCATTTTAATAATTCTCAGTCATCCATTTTAATAATTATGTATCTTACATTGTTCGCTTTGATATCTTCTCTCACCTCTTTGTACTTTTTAGATGCCTGGTTATTTTGGTTTGGGAACTCATGTTTTCTCTGTGCCCATGGGCTACTCTATCTATCTCATAATACTATCTGGAAAGGGTGAGGCTCTCTAAACTGTATTTATTTTGGTGAACTTTTAAAAGGGGAAGGAGATGTGCTCCAGAGTGGAGAGAACTAGGCCCCTCACAACACACCTTGAAGCCTTCTATTTGCAGCCTCTCTACATGGTAACCTTTCTTCTTAGAGTTTTGTTTTTATGCGCTAATGAAGAATTGCTTTGAGAGAAGAGTCTCATTAGTTTTAATTTTGATGTGTCCTACTTATTTTCTACCAGCACAACTGAAAAGGGAGGAATAGATTAAAAAGAAAATAAGTTATATAGTAATTGTGATTCCTAAACCTTAGTCAAATCTTTATTCCATGAATCTCCCAAAGAAAATCTGCTACAATATGTCTTCTAAAAAAAGATCCTAGAGTTCATCTACCATCCATCAACAGCATTTGTGACCACACACAGCTAGAGTTACTTGATTACATCATGGTTTGTGTAAGCATATTGTTCTCATCATGCAAATTCAGTTTTGATTTTACCAAGAACAATATTTGTCACTTTTTATGTGGAAACTGAGGTACAAAACAGTTAGATGACATTAAAAAGTATCATGAACTATGCCAGAGGTTCCTTCGTGATTTTACACACTTGACTGGTGAATCCCAATTACACAGAAATATCAAGTCACTATATGGATGAGATGTGGGAAGCAATGTTTATATACTCATTCATTCATTCATGCATTCAATGATTCCCAAAACATGTATTATTCTCTTGCTCTGTGCCAGTCTCTGTTCTAGAAATTGAAGACACTATGAAGAACATAATAAGATCCCTGCTCTCAAAACACACCTGTTCTTGTGAAGGAGACAAAGAGAAACAAGAGTAAAACAATGTGGCAAGCACTTTAATAAGAAAGCACACACAGTAACACACACAGATACAGTTTGTAAGACTCACTGTGGAGTCACAGAAATGACCAACAGCAGCTTACAAAAAGGATAAAATGTGAAGGGCATAACTCAAGAAATAAACATAAGGATGTTTTCTCAGCATTGTTATTAATAAACATAACTACTAGAACCTGGAAATTAATGACAATGGGAAAGGGTGTTGAATTGGTAGGGGATGGAAGATAATATTGTAAAGTCAAGTCCTAAACTAGACAAGTGTTAATCCTCCAAGTCGTGCTTGAGTCAGAGTACAGTTAGATTAGATTCTGGAAGGGATTAGAAAGTTGTAAAAGGCACCTATAAACATGCAACTCAAACAGATTTTAATTTTTCCACATTATCCTGACAGTCTATGGAAATGAAGCTACATATTAAAATATGAATAGGCAAATTTAGCTGAAGATAAATTATGAAAAATACGAGAGAAGGCCAGGCGTGGTGGCTCACGTCTGTAATCCCAACACTTTGGGAGGCCAAGGCAGGTGGATCACGTGAGGTCAGGAGTTTGAGACCAATCTGGCTCACATGGTGAAACCCTGTCTCTACTAAAAATACAAAAATTAGCCAGGCATGGTGGCACATGCCTGTAATCCCAGATACTCGGGAGGCTGAGGCAGGAGAATCACTTGAACCCAGGAGAGAGAGGTTGCAGTGAGCCGAGATTGCACCACTGCACTCCAGCCTGGGCAAGAGAGTGAGACTCCATCTCAAGAAAAAATAAAAAACAAAACTGAAAGAAAAAATTAAAAAAAATGATCAATACTTTCTCCTTATTCGAGAAAATGGTAAATACTTTTTCTTTATTTGGGAAAAATAAGGAGACCTTTTCTGTTTAAAGAAGCAAATTGTCCTACACTGAATATACAAATAAACTAGTTACCTAATTAACTACCATGCAGCAAGAAAAAGAAACGACCCACCACAGAAGTCACACCTCTCCTTATGCATGTAAAAGCTGTAAGGGGAAAGAGGATTGGGCAGAGGAAACCATGTAGAAATGCAGAATTTCAAGGACAAATGACCTGTATCAGGAAAAATACTGTATAACAAACTTGCTTTCTGTAGCTACAGACTTTGATATTGAACTAGAGAGCTAAGAGTTTTTGTAAGGAACTCATTTCATAGTTCTAGTCTGATTTCTCTGTGAGATAAGTCCTTGGAAAAATGTGTCTAGAGCAAAAAGATCGGGAAATACAATTGTGCAGTAAGTTACAGAAACCTCGGTTATCAGTGGTTTCAGCGTTTATTGTCTGCTTAACTGGAAGTCTGATGGTGGGCATTGTCATGGGTTGGTTCAGCAGCTTTACAATGTCAGAGTACAGGATTAGCAGCTCTGGAATTCTGTTTTTGCTTTTGTTCTTTCCTATGGTAGCAAGATGCCTGCCCCAACTCCAGATGAATATTCTCACAGCCATGTTCAAAGGTAGGAAGCACAAGAGTAGCCAGGACAATGCAAGTATACGTCTTTTATCAAGAAGGACACTAGTTCTTGCCTGATTTCTAGTTGACTTAATCTGAACGGGTACTCCTGACCATGCTCAAACTGAAGGAAAGGCTGGTAAAGTGAGTATCTTGCATTTACAAGCTCATAGGTGAAAAGCAGGCAACAGAAAGAGAGACTGGGGATTATATTTGGGAACCAGTCAAAAGCATGTATCACAGAAGAGGGTGAGAAGTATGATAACTCTTGTCATTCATTGATCAATACGGATATGATTTAGTGTGTGTGCTTTTTTTTGTTTGTTTTTTGTTTTTTGTTTTTTTTAGACAAGTCTCGCTCTGTCACCCAGACTGAAGTGCAGTCGCGAGATCATGGCTTACTGCAGTCTCAACCTCCCAGGCTCAGGTGATCCTCTTACCTCAGCCTCCTGAGTAGCTGGGACTACAGACGCATGCTGCTACAAAGAGCTAATTTTTATTTATTTATTTATTTATTGTAGAGACAGGGTTTCACTATGTTGCCCAGGCTGGTCTTGAAAGCCTGGGCTCAAGGTATCCTTCCGCCTTGGCCTCCCAAAGCGCTGGGGTTACAGGCATGAGCCACCACGCCTGGCCTATAAAATAAACCTTGCTTTCCTTTGATGTATTTATTAAACACTTACCATGGGCTAGGCATTCTGTTAGAAGCGAAGAGTATAATCATGAGGAAAAACAGCCATAAGGCTTGTGGACCTGAGGCAAACATGGTTCACTGAAGGAACTGAAAGCAGGGCAAAGAAATGGAATTATAGGATGCAATTCCATCTCAATACGTTGGAAACATATGACCTAATCTGCCCTTAATTGACTTGCAGCATGCCTCTATCCTCTTTCCTGACCATTCTCCAATCAATCCGTTGAAACTGTCAAGCCTGTTCCTTCCTTGGAGAATAATGCATTAACTGCTCTCCCTGTCTGGAACTTGACTCCTTTGCAAGGCTAGCTTCCTTTGGTTGTCAGTTCTCATCTCAAGGAGCAGCTACTGGAAGAAGCGTTTGCTGGCCCAAATCTAAGCTGATCCTTCCTGCTTTAGTCATCCTCTCTATTAAGTAACCAGTGCTATTTCCTTTATGACATCTATCACTATGGGAGATTATCTTATTTTTTTTAGTATTTTGCTCTTGCCTTCCTTTTTATGCTGTAAGTTTTGTCTATAAGAGCAAGGATTTTGTCTTACTTATTGCAGTAACTATAAAGCCCACAGTGTGGGTTAAAAAGATGAGATGGATCAAGAATCTAGGCCATATTTAAGAATTTGAGTCTTCATTCTAAGGTAAATAGGAAGTGTTTGAATTGTTTTATAGTGATATGATTGGAATTATACAATTACCCTGTTTCGCAGTAGTTATGAATTTAAACATTTTATTCCTACACAGACAGTACATATCTCAGTACATGTGTGTGCATATTTTTAACTAGGTTTCCAGTAACCTTTACTAAAATAATAATAATAATGATGATGCCTGAGCTGAGCTTGAAGTCTTACTGGTTAGATTATATTGCAATATTATTTCAACACCTAAAATGGCAGCACAACAGAATCGTTTTTCAGTTTTTCTGAGGATTCAGAGTGAAATTTTAATAAGAGAAATCTGTAGCAGCCAATAACCTATTCAAATGATAGTCTTATTTTACATCAAAATATTTATAGAATGACAAAAGTTACCATCAGTATGTCATCTTCAAATATACAAGATAAATATAATTTTTAAATGACTTAGAATTAAGCTCTGCATAAATTCAAGACCTTGGTATGACAAAATAGCTCAGATTCAGAGTGATAGAGGGCCATCTATTTAAATAGATGGTAATTAATTTAGAGGGAGACCCTGAGTAACTAATCATGTTTACTTCTAGGTAGCCTGAGACCATTTTAACCTTTAATTTTACTTTAAAATTTCAGAAAATTAAGTCACTGAGCTAACGACACATTCTGCCCACTTTTATTCCCCATACCTTTCATTTAGAGTCCACTGTTAAAACTCAGTGAAATTCATATCTATCTACATTGAGAAGCACTACACAACCATAATCAAAAACATGAAGTCATAAAGTTAAAACCATTTAATCCTATTAAAGCCTCATTAAATCAAGGCAGTATTTCTAGGATGGGACTTCATTCCCTTGTACACTAGCAAATCTGCAACCCGAGTCAATGTTCACGAATTAATTAGCAACTGCACTAAGGGCAGGTGTTTGACTGACATTTCCCTTGATCTCTTCCCTCAAGGTTACACGCTGTACAGTCATGCAATTCCTTGCCATTAATCCTTAACCCCACCAGAATGTTTGTTTACTTTGCTGAATAAGAACAAGAGCATGAGCTACAAAACAAATATGTAGAATGCAGAGGGGTGCTTTTTTGAGATAATACTTCTTGTATTAAAAGATAATATGAAGAAGGGAAGCTTTGCATGGCCATGTCTGCTATCTGTGTTTAGAAAAAAAAAAAATCCTCATTTTGGAGGACAGAGATAACTTTTTGAATAGTTTTCACAAACACATCAGCTAAAGCTTCAAGTAAAAAAATGATAGAATTTTAAAGCTTGAGAGACTTGAAATATTATTTGGCCCAAAGCCTTCATTTTTCAGTTGGAGAAACTGAGCCATAGGAATTTTTTTATATCGCCTGAGGTACCTAGCCCATAAAGTCAGGCCAAGTCCAAAACTCCTAATTCAGCTAGACTAGATTGTGTTATAGTCTTTTTTTTTTTTTTTTTTTTTTTAGCTATTGCTATTCTTCTAAAATAAACCAAGAATTTGACACATGACATTTGTTATTTATGACTTTCTTGGCAGTGATGATAAAAACATGTTTAGGTCTTGAATGGCATGTGAATAATATCCTCTTCAAAATACTGACAGTGGTCAAGACATAACTTCAAGTTCAGGTTGATGGGCTTTTAACTATCATGTCATCCGAAGCAGCTGAATGAGTGAGATACTTTTATAAGCTTCTACAGGTCATGCATAAGCATTTAGTTTTAATTTTTCTTGGCTGAGTTAGCTTTCATTTCTCTCTTCAAACAATGGTTCCTTAATATAGCAGAATAGTTTTGTTGACAATTGAGGTCAGAGACCAAAGGTATATCATCC
The DNA here is from genome assembly GCF_000001405.40 of Homo sapiens. Taxonomy (NCBI): domain Eukaryota; kingdom Metazoa; phylum Chordata; class Mammalia; order Primates; family Hominidae; genus Homo; species Homo sapiens. The sequence goes on along the minus strand of NC_000005.10, from coordinate 165,262,835 downwards.
TATCAAGTACAGTACTCTAAATGGCTGTGCAACATGCTGCAGTCGAATTAGGACTTCCAGAACTGCAACTGATACATTGGTCAACTGGATATTCCCTTTGTTCTGCAGACACTTTGCGCAAACATTGACATGAAGCAAGGATTCAAATTTTAGTTTTTTTTTTTCTGTGTGTTTAAAGTGTATCCTACTCGATCTGCTTCAAGTATTTAACTTATATAAATTTACATACATATAAAAATAATGAATTAATCTTAAAAATCATTTACTCTTCTAGGTACATTTGGGGATTAAAAACAAATAATAAGAAAGGTATATACATGAAAGATTACAAAATTATTTAAGGAGGCAAGCAAAAAGAATATCTTTAGCAAAGTTTTCATTCTATTCATGTAATTTTCAATGTTAAAGCAAAGCAGAAAACAGCAAAAATTGAGGGTCTGTTAACTACGAACTCTAATATCAGAAGAAATTGGCAGTAAAGTGTTTTAAACGTTTTTTACATTTAAAATTTTATTTTTAAAAACGATGATAAAAATGTACAGAGTGTTTATTTGAAAATTAGCTATTTTGGACATTTCGTATTGATCAATGTGCCACTGTAATGACATGGCAAGCCTAAGTATTATTTTTTCTATACTCAAACTCCCTAATCCTAGAAATCAAGCATGTTATTCAAAAACTTAAAAAAAAATTCAGGTAAAAGAGAAAGGACGTGGGACCTTCAAAAAAATATTGATAGAACCATCTTTGTAACTAGAATAAAGATCAAACTTACTAAATTGTAATAATGTGCCAGGAACCAAGAAAGGAACTCTGAACAAATTTTAAAGGGAAGTCAACAAGCCGATCAAAACCTGTACTTTAATTAGACTTAGAGTTCCCTAGGATTAAGAGACAGAGAGTCGAGGTTCATATTACAGAGCAAGTTAAATTAGTCACAAATTCAACGGCGTGGGTAACAAATCCGACAGGAACCTTAGAAATACAGAAGAAAGATGAACTACAGGGGATTTGGAACAGGATTAGGCTGGCATCTAGGTTCCACTATTTACTAACTCTGTGTTCTTTCAGGGTTTTAAATCTCAATTCTTAGTTTTCTTCCCTGTAAAAGGCAAACAACCATAATGCTTACCCTCAAAGGTCAACAGGACAGTTCAAGAAGCAAAGAATGCCAAGAGCCCATGCTTGTAGTGGGCACTTAATTAAGGTTGGATTTGGTGTCAGTGAAGAGGACTATGATGATCACATGAACAATCTACGTGCAAGAGAGCAGAGAAGCAATCCTTGAACCCGACTAGAATTTGAAGAAGTGGCGAAGCTACAGAGATTTGGAATAGAAGCTAATATATGAGAATATTGAAAGACATTTATGTAATAATTCCACTTTTGCAGAAGTTTGTCAGTCCAACAGGGATACCTATATTCCAAGTTTCCTCTGAAAACTCAGAGAAAGAAAAGAGAAAACAGTACTGAAAATCAATTAGGATAACCCAGAGCAATTTATTTTCTAATGCAATTTATTTGATGTTAAAAATAAGTAAGAACATTCAGAATAAAATATTAGCAGAAAATAAAATTAGCAGAAAGATTGTTTATGTCCATTTGTTCTTTTGCTTATTGTCCTTTCTTATCGTGATAACATTTATTTTAGATTTATTTTTTAATTCCCTTTAGACATTATGTAATTTCAGGAAAGTGATATCTGAAATTCAAAGAAAGGTGAAATTGCTAAAGTTAGTTGGATGAGATGTTTTCCATAAAGCAACATTTTTCCAGGTTCAAAAGCCAATCCATTCATAATGGGAAATATGGATCTTATATTAACAAATTATAATAAGCATGTAGACGATTTTACAAGTCAGTATTATCAAAAACAAACAAGATAGCTCCAGTAAAGAATGCAACTCGGGCACTGAAACTTATTAGTTTGATAATGATAGGGAAAGTGTATCATTAGATTAATTGAGCAATTAGAAAAACTCACAGCTGCACTTTTTGACAACAGGAGAAAATATTCACTTCCTTATTAGGAAGATATTTGAAAGAACACTTAAATGCCTGAAAATAATATCTACCCTCTTAGAAACTAAACTTGTATGGCCTAATAAAGAAAAAAAAAAAAAAAAGAAATAACTACTTCCTTTGAAAGTAGCAAGATTTTAGATTTGTATTTTGCCTGATGGAGACACATGGTTACAATTCTAGCACCTCATTAGTGGTTCAATTATGAAAGCCAGTAATAAACATCTTACAACTGAACTATAGATGTGGATATAAAAGTAGAAATATACAATACATTTTTGTGCATGCTTTTGAATAAAAAAAATACAAAATCAAAACTATGAAAACAGGCCCTTGTTTACCATCTACAACTGCTTAGTTTCTTAGAAAATAAGGCTGTTTTTATCAGCTTTAACAATAAATATCAGATAAATAAATGTTTCTGTAAATTTCATTTTTTGGAAAGTTTATGGTCGCCTCATTAACAGAGAGTTGCTGAATGTGTTGTCAAAGGGTGCAGCTGTGAATTTTGCTAATTATCTAATTAATCTAATAATATATTTCCTCTATCATTTTCAATCTGAAACATTGCTATACTAGACACTCTCCAAAAGAAAAATCAGAGTTGTCTTTATGAATGAATAATGGAATTTCGGAGTAAGCCCCATTTCTGGCATAATAAAGTCCACATCTATACTGGGAATCTGAAAATTTTAATATTTTTACCCCCAAAATGAATTGGAGGAACTTTAATTTGCCAAAAATCTTACTCCTGGGCTATTGTATACGTTTCTGTGTTCGTTATAGCTGAAAATCATGTTTCCTCAGAAGAGATAAAAAGTCTGATGAAATTGATGTAGTTCTTGGTAAGAAATGCAATGTAGTACCTGAAAGAAATGCATGCTTGAGAGTAAACACTACAGTTACTAGTAAATATTCCTTCAAATAACTTGAAGGTGATCGAGGTCTACCCACCAAAAACTCCCTGATGTATTTCTCCTTTTCAAAGCACCTTCATAATTATTATATTAATATATTTTATTTGAGAACATCTTGGAGGAAAGAACAGCTTTCCTCCCTCCCTGAGGGCATGGTTTGGTTTCTTGATCTATGCTTTACAAGAATGCAATATTAGAAGAGGCGTTTCATAAAGAGGGAAGTAAACAGAAAACAATGATTCTCTTTGTAAGGTTATACAGAAAGATGTTCCCCACGAGATTTCATGTTCTGTTTCTCAGACTCAGCCACATTAAATTTATAAACTTTTCATTCTTATTTATGAAAATAAAATTTGTTAAGAAAAATGCTCATGAACATATATTGTGGGTAAAATGACTTTCTAGAGCAAACATGGTGTGTATTTGGTGATATTCAAGCTATGCCAAAGCCAGGTGGAATAAAAGGTCACCTGGTTTGTTTATATTCCCAGCTCTAGTCACCTTGTTTTCTCTTTCTCAGTCTTTCTTTCCACTAACTTCCCAAAACAGTGGTGCCAAGTGTTACTCTGTATTGGGATCACCAGAAAATTCCTTAAAACAGCAGGTCTATGAGCTCCACAAGACAAGATTCAAATTCTCTGTAGATGGGGGGAAGAGAGTGGTGGCCAGGCTTCTAACATTATAAAATAAGCATTTTGAGTGATACAAATGTAGATGTTCCTGTGAACACACTCTGAAATCTCATTTCCAGAATCGCTGTCCAAAGCATATTTTCAAAAGTATTGGGAGAAAGAGAAGAATTAAACAATAACAACAACAACAACAACAAACAAGAGTGAATAGAGGACACTGTAAATAAAGATCATGGAGCAATACTTAAGGTAAATGTGCAAAATAGAAACTGGCCTTTAAACCACACTGTCCAAATTAGAGATAAAGCATCTCCTTTACATTTCTATGTTTCAAGGGAAAACAAAGAGCATGCAAACCACCTATCTGACTTCCAGTGATAGAAGGAAAAAGTTATACACCCAGACAACACTCTGAACCTCTAATTCCCTCTTGCTAAGAGAATATGCAGAGAGCATTCTGACTTAGGTCTTGTCTTGCCAAGTTCCCCCCATTCTCCTCCTTGGTTTACATAATCTCCTTAACTCCTGGCTATACATGCCTCCTCCGGCAAATTGTGAAGGCAGCTTTCAGATCTTGTACAAAGCCTCCAGATTTATTACCAGTTTTTCTGCAAGGAGTGATCCTACTCTCCTAGCCAAATCCCTGCTGAGTTTTGTGGATATTCATGAAGGATAAATACAGCATGTGCAGGACAAAGAAAATTTGCTCTTCCAATCACCAGGCTGGATTGCTCAGTTACTGCTGACAGAAGGAGGCAGAACTGATACGCTCGTTTGATGATGCCAAGCTCTCTCATGCCTCTGCATGGACTTCACAGGCCCATTGCCATATATTAGCGCTTTAATCAGAAAGCAGCTCTACTGGGGGAGTTGAACAAGAGAGTGCTTCCTTTTCCTTTGCATGTTTACATCCTTTTATCTACTTATTATCTAATTCTCCTTCCGAATTGACATGTAGAGAATATGCAGGAATCCAGATGGCTCTGGAAAAGTCACGGAGACAAAGATTCTATTGCAAATGCTTATTGTCCCTCCCACACCCAAATGTCCAAAAAAAGCTCTAATAGCATTAAGCATGCATGTGATGCCATATACCACCAAAAGGACTGACATTCAAAAAAGACAAAAGAAGACTATTACAATTCAGATACATTTCAAACTTGATTTAGTAATAGAAATGAGGCATTGAAGAGCTCCAAAAACAACCTAGCCCAATTTATATTTTCCCCCAAACTTTACCAGCTTTCCTCTATTGGACTAATGAGTTTAATATGAACTTTTAAAAAACTTTCCTTCCATATATTCAACACATATCCATAGATATAACCTATGGAACACATAAATAGATTAAAAGTATCAACATATTACAATTTAATCCTATTTAAAGAAGCATATTTGGCTGGGTGTGGTGGCTCATGCCTGCAATCCTAGCACTTTGGGAGGCCGAGGCAGGTAGGTCACGAGGTCAGGAGTTTGAGACCAGCCTGGCCAACATGGTGAAACCCCATCTCTACTAAAAATACAAAATTTAGCCAGGCATGATGGCTGGCGCCTGTAATCCCAGCTACTTGGGAGGCTGAGACAGGAGAACTGCTTGAACCCAGGAGGTAGAGGTTGCAGTGAGCCGTACCACTGCACTCCAGCCTGGGCAACAAGAGTGAAACTCTGTCTCAAATGAACAAACAAACAAAACAAAACAAAACAAAACAAACAAAAAAAGAAAGCATATTCATTTTAGTGGGAATGCAAGGGACAGAATGATTTTAAGTTATAATCAAATTTCCTTTTTAATCTCTTTCTGACCAATGATATCCCCATTCTCCTCCCTCTACCTTCTTGCCCACAGGTGGTTCCATGCACCTAAATTTATAAGCCTTCCAATTACTGATTGTCTCATTTCCACATTAGTCTCTATAAAATTTGTATTTTAGTAATCTCAATTATTTTCATTTGAGTAAGAGTTAGCAGATCTTTTAGAAAGAGTAGTTATTGTTTCTTACTATTTTCCTTCAGAGATTTCTAAAAAGTTACAGAAAGAATAACTTGTACTAATTTAAGCCCTGAGAAGAACAGTTTACTTCACGTCAGGATGTTGTTTTCTAAAGCAAGTAACGTAATGCATTTGATACTTTATGTTTTCCTAGTCACAAAGTTATCAAATCATTTTGAGATTAAATAATTTTTCCTTCCAAATTGTGTTAATAGATATGCATTTTGCTTTGACTTGAATGTGGGTACTCAGAGGTATTCCCAAGTCATAGTCAACATTTTGTGAGTCGAAGATGAAAAATATTTATCTGGGCCCTGCTCCTGGTGTCTACCTTTCTGACCCTGGGTGAATAGAAATTACAGCTCCTATGTGGCAGTTCAAATATCTTCGGATGAAACTAAAATAATGCTTAACTGAAAACATCCTACGATGTAGGGATATTTTCATATATAATAGACACACAAGGACGGGCCATCCTGGGATTAATTCAGGGCCTCAATAATGTCAGATACTGGTTTGGTTTCACTGAGATTCTTTTGGCTTTTCTCTCACAGTTGAAAACTACTGCAGCAATTCCTAACATGAAATTCTCATATAATGCCCAAATCAGAAAAAAGAAAGTAGGAAGAAATGTTTTCCTGTGCAACTTTCTCTTTTTATCAAGGAGGGAAAGTTTTCTAAGAAGCTGTTAACTAGGCTTTCTTTTATATCTATTAGCCCAACACAGAATTAGATGCTCTTGTCTAATCCTAATCACTGGCAGAATGGAGTGGGAGTAGCTGTGATTAGATTAAAAGTAAAGAAAAAACAAAAAACATCCTCAGCAGCTTGGGAGGGGTCAGTATTCCTGAGATCACTGACATCTAACTGCTACCTGAATAAGATAAAAAAATGTTAGCAAGGAAGAAGCAAAACGTGGCTGTTAAGTAGGTAATCAACAAGAGCTACCACAAACTAACAACTCTGGTTTTTGTTGTCGTTTTCTAATGTTTTAAATGAGCACAGAAGCGTAGCAGACTTCTAGAATTATGGGTAAGACAACCCTTCATTGGCTGCCACTGTCCCTCTTATTGAAGGATTTTTAGCTCCCATGACTTCGTGCAAAATGTCTAGCCAGTGTCATCACCACACTCAGCCACTGCTACAGCCCAAAGCACCACACCCTTCCAAATGCTTCCCTGGTGGGGGCACTGTCCTCAGTTAAAAATGGTTAACATTCTCTCCATTAAAACACAATACGTTGATGAGCTGATGAATATGTTAATTCATAGCTCATTCAAGCTCTATTGAATCTTTCTGCAATATATAACATATATCCAAATATCACATTGTGCCACATAAATATGGACAGTTATCATTCATCAACTAAACATAAATACATAATTTTTGAAGAAACCCTGGTATTTGATATTTTCTTGAATTCCAGGTATGTTTTGAAGAAAGGGGAACTGAGATGGTAATAAATAAATCCTTCTTAAGAGGGAATATCACAGAGCGTTTGAAATCAAGGTAAAGTAATTCTCCCATTATGTTGTATTTTATTTCCTGCTTGCCTATATTCTCACTGTTATGAGTTTTTTTTTTTTTTTTTTTTTTTTTTTTTTTTGTATTTTTAGTAGACACGGGGTTTCACCGTGTTAGCCAGGATGGTCTCCATCTCCTGACCTCATGATCTGCCCGCCTCGGCCTCCCAAAGTGTTGGGATTACAGGCGTGAGCCACCGTGCCCGGCCTGTTACGAGTTCTTTGAGGTATACTCTCTTTTCATTACATAGAGATTCTATACATATACACATGCACAAATATTTGGAAAAGGCAAAGATTTTAAATTCCAACATTGACTCTTTAAAGCTATACATACTCGTCCAAATTTTTTTTAACACTGCTTCATCTCTATAAAATAGGGATAATTATACCAAATTTAAGGTGTTGTCCTCAGGATTAGGAAAGATTGTATACATGAAACACAAAACACAGTACCTAAAAACATACTATTTATAAATAATTCATCCCATATTTGAATATTGAAAATATTTAACATATTACATATATTATATATAAAATATATAATAAATCAGCCCATACTTTGAATATTGCACCAGAAAATATTATTCATACTCCTGCTGCTCATGGAAAAAACTCACCTTGGGGTAATTGTGTATAATAGATCGCCTTCTAGAAAAAGGATTGGAAAACTGCAAACTTCAGATGAAATCTAAATTTGCTGCCTATTGTAAATAAAGTTTTACTGGAACACAGTCATGCACATTCATTTACTGTTGTCTAGAACTACTTTCAGAATACAGTGGCAGAGCTGAATAGTTGCAATGGTAATTATAAAAGTCTGCAAAGCTGAAAATATTTACTATCTGGGCCTTTATAGCAAAAGTTTACGAATTCCCTTCTAGAAAATAAAGCATTTTATCAGAATGTATATATCTGAAATAATAAAGGGAGGAAGGAAGGAAGGAAGGAAGGAAGGAAGGAAGGAAGGAAGGAAAGAAGGAAGGGAGGGAGGAAAAGAAAGAAAAAAGGAAGAAAAGAATGAAAGAAGGAAGGAAGAAAAGAATGAAAGAAGGAAGGAAGAAAAGAATGAAAGAAGGAAGAAAAGAATGAAAGAAGGAAGAAGAAAAGAATGAAAGAAGGAAGGAAGAAAGGAAAAAGGAAAGGAGGGAGAGGGAAAGGAAAAGGGGAGAGAGAGGAAAGAAATAAATTATTTGTTAACTTCTGCAGAACCTAGAAATTTTATCTGGCAACTAAATAGACTTCACTGTTTTATTTAATGCTCTTGCACCTCGGTCTGCTTCCTTATCTGAGTAGTGCTCTTCTTTCATATTTTTTTTAAATTCACCTCAACTATACTTTTTCTACTCGAACTTCTTGGTAATAATTTGTCTCTTCAAATAGTCTTTGGATTTTATAGCATGGAATAGGTCATCAGTAGCAGTTGTTTTCATTTCAGCCCTTTTCTCTCCAATATTAAAAAGTAAACATGCTATAGATACTTCCAGTGTTATAAGAGCCACCAGCAAGCACTCTCAAATACCATCTCTGAGAAATTAATTTGGATTAATACATTCACAAAATGCATTTAATTCTGTGGTATTGAAAGCCAAGGTTTTTAAATTTACACACACACACCCATGCACACGCATATGGCAAAAATATTATCCACGACTAAAATATTTTTATTATTTAGTTAGAAATACAGTGGCTTGAAGATGAGACAACTACTACAGCTTATTTTCCAAATTGCATTCAGTGATAGATAACTCCCATTTTTTTTTTTTTTTTTTTTGACCTGCCAATATTTAGATATAATGAGTGGTAGCCATTTAGGCAGTTTTTCCTTATCAATTTCAAACTCTGCCTGTGGCTTCATAATTTGTGATCAGAAAATATGACCTACTTTAGCAGGATATAAGTATATCCTATATGTATAAACTCTGCAGTGACACCTACAGAGGCCAAAATCTCTGTGGTCTGATCTCAGATATGACCATGTAGCTTATTTGCAAATAACTGACTATATGCCAGCATCAGAAATAAAGAGAAAACAACTTGTTTTGTATAAATCCTACCTACCGATGAGCTAGCATCAGTTTTCCAAACGTTTTCTACCTCAGAACACAGAAGGATAAGAGCCAAGTAGAAAGTTTATTTAAAAGATTGTCACAAGCAGCAGCGTTTGAGATTTAGCATCCAGCTACCTCTACTTCGAATTCCTCTGGGTTCTCATTTCCATTAAATCTAACTTTTCTGAAGATTAGTTTAGATTAAATCCTAGAATTGACATTTGAGACACCTGTCCAAGACTGTACTTAATAAATGATTCAATCCCTCCCTTTGGCACTACTAGAATTCATCTTGTCTTATGCAGTAAACAACAAACACTCCAAATGAATTCATCATGTGGTTGCTTAGTTCTGAAAACAGAGTCACACACAGATTCAATCCACCAAACTTACTATTTGGATAGAGTGCTTTAAGCTAGTGATTGAGTTACCTCTTGCCATCAAGTACCCCTTTACTGGCAGGTGTTAGAATCCACAGTAATGACAGGGTTTGAGCTAGGGACCCTATAGAGCAGAAACTCCTCATCGCAGATGCCCATGTGAAATTTGGCCTGGCTTCCAGACCTGCCTTGCCTGTGCCCACGTGGAATTCAGTAGGATGGAAAGCACCTGCAGCTCTGCCCACTCACCCCTTGCTGGGGAAAGTGCAAAGAGCTGCTGTGTCTTGCATGGTGGGAGTTAGAAGCAATGAACGTGAAGAACTAGTGGTAAAAGAAAACAGCAATGACAAACAACAACCAAAAAACAGATATTGCTGGTTTGCTGCTGATTCATTCTAATGAGGCACTCAATAATATTATTTCTCTTTTATGCATTTCTCTTTCACTTGTTAATCTTACGATAAGCGTCTAAAATGAACATGACTCTCTTTAGTGTGGATTGAGAATCAGACAGATTTGGGATACATATTTGGGTAGAAGACCTTTCTTTTTTCTGTTCCTATGAAGGTGACCTGGGTAAGTCATTTAAACCCCTTGGGCCTCATTTTCCTCATCTATAAAAAGAAAGGCCCAGATTAGATCTTCTCTAGAGTCTGTTTTAGAGTTAATTCTCTTTCAGCCTCTTTTTCTTGTTTCATATAGAACAGTGTGCTATTCTTTTTGCTTTCCAAACTACTACCCATAACCTAAAAAGACCTTTCCTACCTAGTCCTTCCTACCCCTCTAGCAAGCTCATTTCCTACTTAACCCTCCTCACTCCACTCTAGCCAGCCACAGCGGACTTATTGCTAGTGCCTTTCTCTTTTCCTCTACCTAGAATGCACTTTCCCCAATTTCTCTAAGAGATATATTTCCTGACCAGCCAGTCGTCATCTAGGTTTTTCCAAAGGCAGACTGAGAGACTAGGATTTAAGTATAAACAGCTCATTTTGGAGGTCAAGGAAAACACTGGCAGGGGAGGGAGGAAGTGACACAGGCAAGGAACAGAGCCAATAGAAACTGCACATTTACAGCAGCTGCCACCACTGTGGGCCAGTGGAGCTCCATCTGCAGGAAAATTCCAGAAAACAGTCTAACCCATGCTTTGGAGTTATCCTTTTCTGAGAGTGATGACGCTGGGGATATTTGTAAAGCCATGAAAGCTTATCTGAAAGGTGACAACTGTTCTGGGAGGTGTTAATTCCCCTTTACTTCAGCTCCATCATGTTAGAGACTACAGCCACCATCTTTTTGGCATCAGAAAAAGCTCATAAAGACAATGTAGCTACCGGCAGGTGGAGGTTGTTTTGAGTCTACCGAAGTGGTCAAACCCAAGGGTACGTGCAGGGTGCCCACAGTGTCTGCTCTCTAGAACAGCACCTTCCCCTCAGCCATTCTCTCTGCTTCCACTTTTCTTTTTCCTCATATTGCTTACCAACACCTAAGGTGATATTATATATCCTTTACTTACTTTGATAGGCAATATATCACAGTACTTGAAAGCATTAACTCCAAAGCCAGGCTGACTAGCTTTGAACCCCAGCCTATCATTCTATTAGTTGCATGTCACTGTTTTCCAATTTACTGAAAAATAACAGGAACTTCTGCAGTGGGTTGCTGTAAGGTTCAAATTAGTGCTTTTCAATAAAGCCTAGGAACAGTGTCTGGCACATAGTATGCAGTTGATAAATATTAGCTCTTACTGTAGTTACTTGCATATTGTCTGTCTTCCCATTAGCATGAGAGTTGCAGGCAGGATCAAACATTTTTGACCTGTTCATCATTTGTTGCCCACGGCCCAGCAAAGCAATGTAATAGTTGCTCAATATATATTTACTAAATTAACAATGAAGGAAATTCCTTCTGAAACACTACCTCTAACCTTACTCACCAACAAAAAAAAACCCCACCTTCAAATAGTCGATTTCAGTTTTTCTCTTTGCTGTTTAAAGATCAGTACAAAAGTCTATTTTTCTAGGAATCCTGCTCTGACTTTCTCCTTCCCCTCTAAATTGCCTAGTGACCCCTCCCCTCCAGGCTTCCTTCATCATGCCTTTATCACACTCTATTGTGATTATTTGCTTACTTGTGATTTCCTGGAGGCTGGAGAAAGTATTGCATTTGGGGTTTTGTCCCTAAGCACACAGCCAAGTACCAGGTGCTCAACAAATATTTGTAGAATGAATGAATGAATAAATTTGCCCGGCTAATCATTTTAATACCTGGCAGATAATCCTTCAAATCCTGCCTAGATCGCCCTCTGGTATGTAAAGGGTAGACAACTGGGTATCTTAAAATGGAAGATGCCAGTCTTACCTCCAGAAAATCAGATAGCCATGAAAGGTTGAACGTTTTGTGTTTCATGGCTGCTGTGGAAGAACCAGTGATGCCAGAATAGATGGTCATACAAAACTTCGTCTTTTGAAATATATTGTAGAGAAAATGAAAAAATATATATCTTTCAGTGGCGGATGAGAAACTCCACTGCTCTCATTCATGAGGTCCTTCATTTCACAAAGATAATAATAATTTGTGTTCGCCTAGACTTATCTAATGACTAACCAGAGGCCAGAACTGATATGCTGAACGACACTGAAAAAAAAGCATCTTGGTTCTATGTACTGTTCATTTTTCTGTTTAAAAAGAATCCATTTTTTCTATTATTGTGTTTTCAATTTATTTAAGCATCCAGAAATGACCTTAAATTGTTTGCTTATATTCTGCCAAGTCAAAACCAAGTACCATATTCCTATACATGTAAGATATATGTTACCTACATCTGGAGAAGGTGCAGGCTAAATTCAAAGTAAAAAGTCTGAAATTTGAGAATGCCCAAAGGACATGACAGTGACCCAGTCTGGACAAAAAAGATAAAACATGAGACAAATACTTTTCAAATCTTTTTGTATCCATGATTCAGTTGAAAATAAATTCTCTCTCAAAAATCAGAAACTTCAATTGTTAATTTGTTTTATACATGATTTTTAAAAATTTATAATATGAAAAGCAAGAACATTGGTGTCAATCTTAAAAAAGAAACATAAAGCAAGTGGTTCTGAAACAAGGAGGCTCCAATGCTCTGGTTTCATTCCCTTTAGGCAAACTGATAATCCCCAATTTACTATGAAATGTTTCTTCTAGCTCGTTTATTTCTAATTGGGCTCCTTTGTGTGTTCAGGGCCTGGAGGGTTACAGAAATTGTCTGATCGCCTCACTGACTACTCCTTACTTCACCTCCAGTTTCCCACACCAATCTTCCTTTTTCTTTCTTGTAACACTTCTTCATTAGTTCCATATTCTCAGCCTCATTATATATTCTTCCGGTATTTCTGTATATAATACCAATCAACCCTGACATATTTTTGCCTTATTTTTTTCTTCCAACTATTACGCCCTAGAGAAAGATGTAAAGATATCCACATCTTACTGTCATCTAGATAATCAGTACTTATACTGTTTTCTTTCTCTTTTTCTTTCATCATTAAAACAGCACGTTCACATTTTCTAGACTCAATATTCAATTTAATCTCTTAGCCAGAACATCAGGACAGATAAAGAGAATTTGTCTTTGTATTTGAGTTCCCTTTTAAGCCACATGCATCCAAAATGTCACCTCGGTATTTCCCAAAGCCCAACACTTTGAATTATTGTTGTTTCACTTCTGTTATCAAAAGATTTTAAAATAAAGAGTTCTGTGTAAAGGAAGGCTTATTTGTTCGCTGTATGGCACCGTCTGCTAATGATATGAATATTCGGTATACCTTTAAATATGCTTGTGATTTAAAGGACTATTTGTTTCTAGTTAACGTTTCTATAAAATAATTATTAATATAATAGAAACTGCAGCAAAATTGGGATGAGTATAAATAAGGGGTTTTTTGCTTGTTTTTTAAATAAAAGTTGCCTGTCTATGGTCCATCAACTTATTTTTCTGATACATCTCACACAGTGGCTCTTACTATAATGAAACTCTCTTCAATGATTTTATTTATAAAACAATAGCCACAGAGATACATGGCATTTCATGGTTCAGTGATTGTCATCTAACCAAGTCATATAAGATTGAATCATCCAGGGTTAAATAAAACACCTGCCTCCAATATAGATTACCTGAGGTTTCTCTGATTTCAATCACATAGTCAGCGGGCTGACCTCAGAGATGGGAGGATAGATGAAGAATGAGAAGGATTTGAGACATTGACTCTGCAGGTCACTTAACTGTGTCAGCAAAATATTATATATATTTTTACAGTTTAGAATGGACCTTCCCAAACCAATAATATCTGAAATCACCAATTCAGTATCTCTCAAGACCTTGTAAGAAAACCAAAAATTGAACTTGATATATGTTATGAGATTAAAAACTAAACATGAAACCCAAACAAAAAATTCCATATATAGATCCAAAGAAGATAGATATCAATATAGATTTTTTTAAAGGGTGTTTTAAATACAATTCTCCTGAGATGGACATGTCTGGATGCTTGATTTATTCTTTAAGCAAGCAGCTCAATACCTTAAGTATTGACTCCAGGTACTTTAAAAAAAAATATATATATATATATATATCCATGACAGGTGTCTACTATTTAGTTGCATTCAGAGGCAAGCCAAAGAGATACAATTGCTTCCAGTGACAAATGTAACCAATTTTATCTTCAGTCTTTGGTCCTTTTCTCTCTGATGTCCACTCTAGCTCTACTCCCTCTCACAGCCCACTGGCCTACCTTCCAGGCATGTTAGACTCTGAACAAATCCCCACCGATCTCTGTATAGCCTCTTGCTATTCCTTATGCCTGTTCTTTACATATTGAAACCCTGAGACTCTTTTAAGAAGGGATTTGTTTTCTCTTTCATTCCATGATTCCTAAATTGGAATTAGTTGCTCCTAAGTACCTGGCTCATATATCTTGATTTCCACCCTGAACTTACCCACAGCATATTGCATATAATAGAGAATTATTATATATTTTAATGTAGTAGATATTAAACTAAAAGCCAGTTAAAATTAAGGAGTAAATCTTTGAGCAAATATCATCAATACATCCTTATGTCTGCATGTAATTAATTGTAGAGAGAAAGCTAGTCAAACCTGAAAAAAATTTTCAAATATTAGCACACAGGATAAACTTATAAAATAAAATCTGTGATGCTTTAGTATTTATTTCTATTCTTTTAGAACCATAGATATCACAGGTGATTCCCATTCTGATTAACATAAACATGAAAACATTCACTAAGCCAACTGACTTAAGTAGCATACTTCTTCTTCCTTCCCAGAAAAGAAAACAAAAAGGTCAAAACAAGGAGTGAGTCCATGTGGGCAATGATGGACTGAGACTGACATCAAGGAAATTGAATTCTGTAACCTTGTGACCTCCAAAACTATGTTGGAAAACCAGAACTGGTGATTCTATTAGTGAGTCAACTCTCCTCTCTTTAAGTGTCAAAAGGGAAGTCTCCACACAGTAAAAGACCCCAAGACACGATGAACCTCCAGAACTCCTCAGCAGTTTAATTTGTATTCAAAAATGTCAGTGTAAATATTAAAAATTCTCTAGCAAATGTAAGACCAAAACAAGACACAATAAAAATGTTACATAATATAATTAAAATTCTTCTTGGTCATATATTTCATTTTACCTTGATTTATAGCTATCTTTATTTCTTACCCAAGTTGCAGCAAACATAACAACATATCTTGTACACTAAAAAGTTACATATTCTAAAAAAGATCCTTTTATTTAAAATACATTTAAATCTAAATTTGGAATTTCTACTGATCTTAAAGTCTGCTATTTTTTTTAAACTATAATTCATTGGCCTCAAAATATTACCACCTAACATATGTAGAGTTAAAAGAGGAAATAAATCTTATATATTTGTTCCATAAATATGAGGATGAAATATTGCCCCATAATGAGATTATATTCTCAAATTATATTATGACCTTTAAAAAAATTTCATACTAGCAGTTAAAGTACAATCCCACTGCTTATGATGATTTATTCCATCCAGAGACAATTCTGAAAATGGTGCTCTTAACATGGCACAGGCAGTATTTGCAATAATCCTTGCCTGCTCAGTCTACAGAGTTTTTTGCTGACCAAAAATAATCCCTCTCTTATAGATGATAGACAGATACACAAATACATAGATACATATAGATAGATGTATAAACATACATATACATATATACACGTACATGTGCACAAACACACACACACAGAATCTCTCTTCACACAGTTTTCAGACATTGTCTTTCATTTCAAATTCTTGAGGGATAACACCTCAATGTAACACCCATGTAGTGAAAAGCGGGGTAGGGGCTGCTAGATTTGAATCCCAATTGCAGCATTTATCTGTTTGAACAAATTATAAATTCTCTAAATCTTTTTCTCATGCATAATAATGCCTACTTTGCAGGATTAATCTAAAAACAGAGAAACCTTATTTTCAGTGAAAATACAGAATGTAGTGTGTAGTACAGAATAGAAGGTCAGCAAATATTATCATACCAAGTTTGATCTCACTAACTAGACAATATCCTTTTATTTATTCCTAGGTCTTTATCTTCCTTTATTTTCTGGCCCTTTTCTACTATGTTCCATCTTTTCTTATTCCATACCCTTTCCCTAACATGTCAAATAATGAGACTAAAAACAATTCTATTTAATTTTTGACAGCTTGTTTTACTCAAAAAACTTTGAAGAGTAAAAGAGGATGGGTTTACATGTTATGTTTCCTGAAAAAAAAAATGTGTTCTCTTGAATTTTCCAGTGATACCCTTTTTTATTTTTTTGGGAGCTTAAGTTTTACTAGATTTTTTGTGCACAGAAATAATCGAAGTTCACAATTTTAGGCTAGGGTATTTCTGTCAGCACCAGCAAACCTGGCATTGTTGGACTTCTTACAGGGGGGCCAGAAGCTGCAGTCTGTTCTCCCTCAGTACTCCTCTATCTTTGAGTAAACCCCACTGCTTCCTTGATAACCTGCCCCTCCACACTCCTCCTGTTTATTTATATTTTCATGTATTCATTCTATCAACAAACATTTTTGAAGAGACTTTTATGTGCCAAGTACAGTGCTAAACAGATGAGAAATAACAGGCATAGTCTTGAAGTTAGCTAAAGGAGCGAATAGACTCATGGAGAGAAAGCCAACTGTTCCACTTTAGTGCAGAGTTGTTAAAGGATATAACGGGGTAATTAAGTGACACCACAGGGACTTTTAGGGGATGCCCAACTTAGTGTTGTGGGGTTGAGGGGAGACTTCCCTAAAAAGTAACACTTGAGGTTGAGGGCTGTTAGCAGAAGTAGGAGAAAGCCAGGCAACTAGGGATATTTCCTTCTAACTTCTATCTCCTCCCATGCACGGATTATTCTGGTCTTGGCTGAGAGACTTCTCTTCCTAATGTTCTGCAGTCATCCTGGCTGACTTCAACATCCATGCAGAAGGCCCAACCAACACCCAAACTTCTATTTCACCATTTCCTCAACACCAGTGACCTTTGCCTGTTTTCTCTATCAAAATATGAACATGCCAATGGCAAACCCTTTTTCAGCCAAAATGTATTAGGATTTATGTAATTGAATTCTCTGAATATTAAGCTATGTTTATTTTCCTTCTCTGCCCCCCCCAAATTAACTTTTCTGATTTTTCTTATACCATTAAATTTCTTCATCTCAGAATCTCTGCTTTTAGAGGGAGAGGATCTCTTACTTCTTTGCCCAGTCCTTAAATGTTTCTTATGCTTAGAAATCTATTATACTTCTTCCAACTCACTCTACATATTTTCCAGAGAATGGATCAGTAGTGCTCTACATGCTGACATCTTCCAAATATTTATTTATAGCTGGGATTCCTCCCTTGAATTGTCAACCTCTAATTATATAAATTGCTTGGGTATTTCTCTTGCACATATCACTGGTGACTTAGAGACAATTTGTCTAACTTGAACTCATAATCTTCTTCCCTTCCCAACTTTGTTATACCTTACTTTACATCCTCAGTTGTTCCCTTTCTCTGAAAGATGTCACTATTGACCTTGTAGTTCAATTCGGAAATATATAACCTTTTCTCCCAATACTCATATGGAATTAATCATCAAGTTCTCCCAGGACTTGCCTATTAATATATCTAGAGGCCAGCTACTTCTCAGCAGTCCTGGCACTACTCTTTTAGTTTGAGTAACCACCCCTTTTTGTTAGTTTTGTGTCATTCTATTTGTAACAGGTCCATTTTTGTTCCCATTTATTCTTTACCTTTCTTGTAAGATCATTACAGTTCCCCACAACATTAACCTCAGCCTTGGCGATTTGGCTATCTTTGGTTACTGTAAAGAGAATTGGTATATATGGTTTTAAATTAGAAACTTGCTATCCCATGACTTAGCCATAGAGTTACCTTTTTATTGTAAGGTAAAACATAGATGCAGAAAACACAGACACAGATACAGAAAACAAAATATAATAAGTATGTGACTAAGAAAAAAAAACATTTGTAAAAAAAAACCGAGATCAAGAAATAGAATTAGACTAGGGACTTGAGGCCATGAGAAGGTGGCTGTCTGCAAGCCAGGAAGAAAGATCTCACCAGAAACCAACTGTGCTGGCACTTTAATCGTGGACTTTGAGCCTCCAGAACTGTGAGAAAATAAATTTCTGTTGTTTAAGCCACCCAGACTGAAGCATTCAGCTATGGCAGCCCAAGCAGATTGACACACATGGGCGGGTAGGTAACCAAAGCAGACTGTATGACTGTATTAGAGTATAGGGACATTGAGGGAGATACATGAACTCTATTTTTCTGGGCCAACCAGCTTTAAGAATCAAACTCTGGAACTACTAGAAGCCACTATTCCTGGCACATAGAAAAACCTGCTAATGTATAATAAATATATCAAAGCTGAGGGATGGTGATGAGTGGATGAGGGATAGTGATGAGTGGATGAGGGAGGTGAGGAGGAGGAGAGACAGAGAGAGAAGCAGATGCATTGTTTGAAATTCCAGATGCAGTCATGTCAGAAGCCACAATGCCCACTGGGTTTCTTAGTTACGCGAGGCAATAAATCCCCTTCCCTTCTCTGCTTCCTTCTTTAAATTTAATGATTCTTTCTTCTTATACATAATGATTCTGTTTTAATGAGGTCTTCCTCATATACCCTCAGTAAGAACATGAGTGAAGGCAGAAAATGAGCTCACAAGAGCAAGAGCAGTAGGCAGCTATTTGAGAAGGGTAGGTAAGCAGGCTTCAGAACATGCCCTTACATGGTATTTAGATTACTGAAACAAGGGGAGAGAATGGTGAGTGGGTAAAAAGAAATCAAAGATTCAACTAAGATCAGACTTTATGTCTACAAAAGATCATTTCTGGTAGTTCTCCAAATACATATCAGTATTATTTATTTAAATTACTTGAAACCCACTTCTTTAGGCATTGTTATTAAAGAGAAAAAGCTCCTTTGTCAGCATTCTTTACACCATTAATAACCTTCCATACCCTGTTATACTCTCCCTTGGTTAAGGCCACTAAATAATTGCTTTATTTGCATATTTGTACCATGTCCACCTCATTATGGATAATCAATGCACCTTATTAATAGCATCAGTATCAAAAAAGAGAGAAAAATCATATAATTTACCAATGACAAAACAAATTTACCAAGATCTGTGGTAATTTCCTTCTAATTCCTAAGTCAAAGCACTGACTTTGAGACAGTGCATATGGTTTTTAGACCTCTACAGGAGACAAGAAATTATAAAATTCACAGGCAAATTGTGGCTACTGCACTAGCTAACATTTAATCTGTGATGACTACATACTCCTCGTGACTTTAAGAGCTTTAAGTATTTTAACTCATTTAATTCTTAGAACATTGCTATGAGTTCTGTAATACTATTGTTGTTTACCGAAGAGGAAACTGAGGCACAGAAAGCCCAAGCTCTTGCACAAGGATCAGAAGGGGGTATAACCAGAATTTGTTTCTCAGCATCCTGACCAACAATTATTTTACCTACTAAACAGGGAAGCCTTTCAAATATAATCCAGGGTATCCGCTTCATTTTACAACTAAAGAAATGAAGGCTGGGTAAGGATAAAGGACTCACAAAGATCGTGTGTTTAGGTAATGATTGAACTATGACAGAAACTCCCATTCTCCAGATTTCCAATTCTGAACTCTCCCTTCTCTGTCTATAATAAAGTTCTCCAAACCAAAAATATATAGTGACTTCAATCATCTAGGGACCTAACATTTCTTACCATTTTGAAGTGGCTTTGTAATGTTTAACTTGGCTAGTCTGAACTTCGTTTTCTGGAATTTCCTTTCTTGTATGCTTCTGTTTAGGATGGACCACAAAGACATTCTTCTGTGAGACTTAGAGAAAGGAAGCAAAACAGGCACCATGTTGTTGCTCACATATGTTGCTGCTGATCTTTCAACTGACCTCATTGGCATGAGGCTACAGCTGGGCCTGAGACTGCTCTATATTTTCTTAAATTGTCCTTCAGTTTCTTTGATTCTTGGGCCAAGTGTGTGTGTTTAACTTCATGATGAAAAACTTCAACTACTTCAGATCATCCGTGCCAAAAATTTCAGAGGCAGTGAGAACATACACAGGTTTCAATGTAAATTCTCACTGGGTTTCAGCCTATGCCTGTAGCTTCCAGCTTCTTCTAAATCTCCCTGACTTTACATATGTCTTTCATTACTGGCTTCCCAGCCACTCCAGTCATTATATAATGGGCTCATAAATAAAGTGGCCATCATGGCAGGAATCAAGGTTATCTATGGCATCACCAACATGAATTTTCTTTCACCCAAGCCAATATAGCTACAGCCATTGCCGAATACCCCGAATTGCAGGAATGGGGCCATTCCTGCAATATGGCCCCATTTCCTGAAGGATCAGCCAGCTACCTGTTGCCAGGTTAATTACATTGGGCCACTTCTGTCATTGTAGGCACAGCATTTTGTTTTCACTGGTCAAGCTATTAATCTGGATATAGATTTGCCTTCTTACTTGCAGTGCATCTTCAAACTGTCCACAGATTTACAGGATATCTTATTCACCATATTCCACATAGCATCATTTCTGACCAAGAAACTCATTTCACAGCAAATAAAGTGCAGCAATACACCCAAACCCATGGAATTTACTGGTCTAATCATATTCTCTATTGTGCTGAAGCAGCTAGCTTGATGGACTGATGAAATGGCCCTTTCAAGTCTTATTCATGACAGCATCTGGGTGGCAACATAATGCAGGGCTAGAAAAATGTCCTCCAGGATAAAATATGTGCATTAAATCAGCATATGGTATATGACGTTGTTTCTCTAACAACTAGGATTTACATATCTAGGAACCAAGGGGTAGAAATAAGAATGCTTCCTCTGAACATTATCCCTAGCAATCCAATAACTGGATTTTTGTCTTCCATCCTTACCACTTCAGTTTCTGCTGGTCTAGACATCTGGGTTCCAAAAGAAGAATGCATCTCCCAGGAGACATGACAATGATTCCATTCAACAGGAAGTTGAGACTGCCACCTGAACACTTTGGGCTCCTCATGCCTCTGAATCAACGGGCAAAGAAGAGAGTTATAGATCCTAACCACCCAGGAGAAATTCGGTGGCCACTACACAAACAGAGTAAGAGGAGCATTTCTATGATGCGGGAGATCCTCTAGAATGTTTGTTGGTATTCCCAGGTCCTGTGATTAAAGTATGTGGAAAACTATAGCAGCCCAATTCAGGATGTTTCCAGATACTTCAGTAAGTGAGAACTGTGTCACTACGCCACATTGACCAGTTGAGAGGCTAGCTCAGTGCAAAGAAAATATGAAATGAGTAGGGGAAGAAGGTAGCTATAAACATCAGTTATGGCCACATGACCAATTATAGAAACAAGACTAGAATAGTGTGAGTACTTATTTCTTATTTTGGTATAACTATGTTTGTATTTGTATTAACCAAGTATCTCCCTTTTCTTTCTCTTTCTTCTTATCAAAGATGTATTAATAGTAATTAAATTTATATCATAGTCTTGAAATTACAAGATATCCAACTTGAAGCATGCATTGGGAGAAGAATAAATATCATCCAAAGACAAAAAAACAACAACACGACGTTGTGTTCTACTAAAAGGAAAAAAGCCTATTTTCAGATGTACTTAGAAGAGATACACCATGTTAGGTGGAAGTTTGACTTTGTCATGATCTTTTGTGTAGTCTAAGTATGATTTAAGATGTTTATGAGTGCCAAATTGGTAAGGAGTGGATTGTGCTGGCTCTGCAAACTATGTCAGCTTGGCTGTACTGGGCTACATTTCCCAGAGTACCCTTCCCTGTATATCTCCACTTAGGGTGGGCCAAGAGAGATTCTTGCAGGCGATTTAGTGGGTGGAAGTAAAGCAACAACTATTTTATATCTTGCACATATTTTTGTCAGTCTGGTTAAATTATTGATGTGAGGCATGAGGTGGACCTACAACTAGTGCACCTTCCCTTTGATATTTCTTCAGCTTTTCTGACTCTGCGGCCAGGTGTTTGTATTTAACTCCACGGTGAGGAGACTCATCTTCTGACGGACCTAACCTATACCATCAAGGTCAGAGGCAACAAGAAATGGCATGCATTTCAGTTTATTGTTCTGTGGCTCCAGCTTGTATATTTTAACTCTAGATTTTTTTTTACTTTCCCCACTTTACAATCATCTTCCCTTTCCAACTACCTTCCTTGTGGACTTCAAGCTCCAGCACCACAAGCAAAGACAAAAACCTTGCGGAAACTATTTAACTAACTCCCACAATTGCATAAGGTAAGATTCATGTAACAATTGTATAGATCTGCCTATTGATCTCCTAATGGTTTTCTTCTCTGATTAAATTCTGGATACAAATGGACTATAATTAAATTGCATTCAGTTAAATTGCTTTAATGAAATACTTGTATAAAATTGCTAATATTAAAGGAAAGAAAAATATTTGTTATTTGGCCACCATGACAATATTCTACTTCCTCTACATGGCCTCAGTGTGTCAACATAGATCTACTTATTTAAAAAGCATTGTTAAAATTACCAATGACTTAAATTTACTTAAGCCACTTAAGTAAATACATCTAAACACATACTCATATGAAAACATACCTCTAATGATATTGTCACTATTTTAGCTGCAGATGTTTTATAATAAAATCTCCTTTTCTGTGTTCAAGGCAGTTACATAAAATAAACATCTTTTTTTAATTTATTTATCTATTTTTTGAGACAGAGTATCACTCTGTTGCCAGGCTGGAGTGCAGTGGCACAATCTCGGCTCACTGCAACCTCCGCCTCCCAGGTTCAAGTGATTCTCCTGCCTCAGCCTCCCAAGTAGCTGGGACTACAGGTGCGTGCCACCATGCTCAGCTAATTTTTTTAATTTTTACTAGAGGCGGGGTTTCACCGTGTTTGTCTGGATTGTTTCAATCTCTTGACCTCGTGATCCACCTGCCTTGGCCTCCAAAAATGCTGGGATTACAGGTGTGAGCCAACGCGCCCCGCCAATAAACATTATTATTAAGCCCTTTAAAGAGAGTGAGGAAACTGAGGCTTAGAATTAATTCTCTCTCCAAATCACACAGCAAGTAAACGGTAGGATACATTGATTACAGAATATTTAATTCCATATGCTACCCATCTGTGTTCAAAATCCTACATTGGTATTCAGAATAAATGAGTTTTGCTGTGAGAATTAAAAATGACATTGCACAAAGCCTTGAGTTTATAGGTCTTCAACATGTATGCTTGGAAAATTTTAGTTGTTGATATTATGATTATCATTATTAATATTTATATCTGACAGCTCTTGGCATGATTGTCCTATAATTAGCTTTATGTATCTTGTCATGTCTATCCAGTAATACCGTAAACCCAGCACTCCAGGGGGCAGCAAATGTGTAGCAGATTACTTACTTAGATTGAGATTGGCTGGGCTCAGCCATTTGCCAATCATATGTTTTTGATAAAATTAAGTGTTAAAAGCTTGGTTCCCTCACCTGTAATCTGGGTATATTAGTAATGGTTACCTTATATGCTGTTGTTTAAGTTTCATTTTAAGAGCAATGGGAAGCCACTAAAGTGTTTTAAAAAGGAGAATTCCCGTTTACTCTTTTAAAAGATTGCTCTTTTATGTAAAGAATGGATGATGAAGGCAAAAGTGGAGATGAGAAAAGTAATTGGCAGGATACAACATATTCAAGGGAGAAGTGGTCTTATCTTTGACTCAGATGATGTCATTGGAGTGCCAGTTTAGTGAAAGAGTACACAGGACTTAGTCTTAAATGAAGAGTAAGAGAGAGAAGTGAAGACAGATCTCCAGTTTCTGAATTGAACAGTGAGGTCAATGAAGTTGCTATAAACAGAGGAGGTAAAGACTAGAAAGATGCCTTTTGGCAGTGGTGATGGTGGTGGTAAGAGTGGTACACAAAAATAAACTTCCTCACTTATCGGCTATCACTCCCTAGGGTAGGAATTTCATTTCTCTGCTTTATTTTTTATGAGCATCTATATTTTTCAAGTTGAGAGTCTAGCATAATAGGTTGGTAAATAAAATATTATGGGAAGACCATTTTAATAGATGGTCATATATTTACAGAAAGATTCCTTTTTACTAGTTATCTATCTTTTAAAAACTTTCCTGATATTGATCTTTAATTTATTATTAATTTCTTTCAGGATCTAAATGAAAATATTTCTGCAGTGAACCAGTTCTATTGTTTTAAATATCACCCTTATTAAAGAGAGCTTTGACACTTTTCTATGTAAAGACATGATTCACACTCTTTGTTTTAATTTTACTTTTCTTTGGCCTCCATTTGAGTTGCTGCCCAAATTCTAGACTATGGTATTTATTACTCGCTCCTAGGAAGTTTCTCACCACCAGCCACTACTGCAAAACCTGCCAGATGCCCTAAAACATGCAAATACTTGGGTTCCTCCTAGAATTGTAAATACAATGACTCTGTTGCCTCCAGAAAAATGTCTGAATTCCTTCATATATTTCACAAACAGTAAGCAGTATAATATGAAAAGAATATACAGAAATCAGCAGAAAAACTAGACTGAAAATTAAGTCCATAGGCTTTTTTGCCTATTCTCTGAGCCAAAAATCAGAAAATATACATGACTTGAGAAATATAACATTTAGCAAGAGGTCCTAAGGATAAATCGTGAAATATCGTAGTATCTTAAAAGATCCAGATGTAAGTTTATTTTAGCTCTTAGCATGTGTTTGATCATAGCATTTAGCTCTTAAATAATTATTGGTTTATGGTTTCCTTGATGGGACTGTGAGCATCTTGATGCCAAGGACTATGATATTTAATTTTATGTACACTGTATCTGGATATAATAGATGCTCATGAAGCATTTGTTGACAGGATGAAGCACAGATTGACACCTGATATCATTAGAAGTTTTATATATTCAATTACTACTGCTGACATGTCAGTAGCATGAAACAGCTTGTAATTGTCAAGATGACGTTATTATTTGCCATTTGCTAAATGGAGCACTAGCTTGGAATCTCTTGCACTGTTTTCTGTAGGGTGATGGGAACATGTGGAGTTTGTCAGCTAGCACAGATAAACTTGTTATTGGATATAACCCTTCCTGGGTCATTCAGGTGTAGGTTAAAAAGAAAAATGACCATAACGCTGGTGAGAGGTATTTTCATTTGGCAGCCCTTATATTGAAGTCAATGTATGGAAAGCAAAGGCTGCAGGCAATAGCCTTGAGTCCAAGCTTCCAGGGAAACCTTTATCCCACTGCTCCTTGCTCCTGACCTAACATCCATCTTAAGAGGTGAAGCAGGGGTTCATGTCCCTGGCTCCTTCAAACTTGGAATTATAGCCCAACTCCCAAGCTGGCTGTCAATTACTGCCAATTTACAGGGCTAAGAGAAAATGTTTTATGGCCTCTTAGAAGCAGAGGAAGAAGAAAAAGAGAAAAAATGAAGTGAATATGAGCTTGGGAGATGCTATTAATATACATGTTTTGCTTTGCCTTTAGTTAGTTTTCTAAAGCTCTCTGACTTACAGAAATCTGCTATCACAGGAATAGCTAAAGGAAAAATATTCAAGGGCATTTGGTGCCCACATTCCAGTTTGCAGGTAAACTGCAACATCCCCCAAAATGAAAGCTGCACACAAATGCGTCTCAAACTCTAGTGACTGTTAGAATAGTCTAGACGGCTTGCTAAAGCACAGATGATTGCTTGACCCCATCTCAGAGTTTCTGACTCAGTAGGTCTGGTACAGAGTGTGACAATTTGCATTTCAAACAAGTTTCCAGGTAAGGCTGATGTTATTGATCAGGGGACCACAATTTGGGAACCATTGCCATAAACATTACTGTAAAGTTAATTTTTTAAATAATTTTGTACATTAATTGATATAAACACTGCAAATATAATTTCACCTTTAAAAAAAAAAGCAAGAAACCAAAAGCAATATATAAAAAATATGTTGCATCCAGTAAATGGAAGGTGTATTACAGGAACTGAATCCATAGGGAAGAACTGCCTTTTCAGTGCCCACACATATTCTAGAAGAAAATGAGGAGGAATAAGATGATAAGCATGCCTGACATTAAAGAAAAGCTTCTTCGTGCCTAATGCAATGGAGAATTTGTTTAAGAACAATTCAGGAGCATGGCAGTCTGACCCCTTCAGTGAGTCAAGTTCACGAAGTCCTTAGCTGTTGGCTGAATACGTGCAAATAAAATACAGTAGATGGTAATAGAGGCAGAGGTCATGTAAAATGATGACACGCCTTCTACCATTCTCAGAGTTAAAGGACAAAGTTTTTGACCTAACCTTTCCATAAGTTTCTTATTAGTTCTTTCCTACATATCCATCTTCCCACTTGGAGAAACTAAACCTGTTCTTCTACAGCTACAAGTTATTTGGATAATTAACCTGATTTTAAAACGTGATATACGTGAAGGAGAAGATACTGTAGTTTATACCAATTGCTCTCAACTGGGGAATTTTTGCTCCCCCGGAACATCTTGGCAATGTCTGATGACATTTTTGATTGTCACAACTGGAGAGATGCTACTGGCATTTAGTGAGTAGAGGCCAGGGATGCTGCTTAGCATCCTATAGTGTGCAGGACAGCCCTACAACAAAGATTTATCCAGCTCAAAATGCCAATAGTGCCAAAATTGAGAAACCCTGGTTTACACTCAGGAAATGAACCGACTGAAGAAAATCGTCTCCTCACACCTTTCTTTCTGTGTTGTCTCCAGTGTGAAAGAAATGTTATTAGACTACAGCATAGGATCTGAGAATCTCTCCAGAAATGCGTTCCCACACTGTTCCAACCCCATGGTTATTGACCAGGCATCTTGCAGCCTTACTCATGAAATGAATACACTGGAATATTAAAACAAATCCTCACTTACAAGAGTATATTTTACCTATTTCTTTTATTATTTTTCATAGGTATTGTTATCAAATACGAAAGGCTCCAAATGGCTTTTATTATGCCCCGTTAGTGGTGATACTGATGGCTGTCCCACCGATGGTGCTGCTACAAATGACAGTCAAACATCCACAAAAGCAATCTTTCCAATGTTACTCAAGTTTACTCAAGTTTACTTGTCTTTTGTAATAAAGTTGGCATATTAAAAAATTATAAACACAAATTGCTCAAATGAAAGCATCTTGAATAGACTTCTCAACAGAGGTTTTTTTTTTTTTTTCTTTGCATGCTTCAGTGATAGTGATTCTTTTTATCAGTCAAAGTAAAAGTAAATCAATATTTATGTCATCCAAGAAATCTGACTAATGCTAGGAATTACTGAATAGGCAATTACATTTCAAATGCAAAATTTAACAAAATAGTGGTATAATGCAGAAAGCAAATGAAGTAGCAATACAGTAAAACCAAGTGCATTTCAAAGAGCTCAGTGATTTGAAGCTTTTCCACAATCTGTTTTCAAAACCTTCTTTTGATATTCATAAATTCAAATTAAATAATAGAATTAATGAAAGAAATAAAAAAGTCTTAAAGATAGGATCTTTCAACATAATATTCTTGAGTAGTTTATGATTATAAACAGAGTGGCAGCTTTATCTACTTTAACAGTGAATTTCAAGGAACAAGATTGAAAAGTATGTTCACGAGGAAATATGTCAAGTTCATTAAATACTTAACATATCATAGTTTTTTTATACACAAGCATACATATTTCTCCCTTACTTCATATTCTAACATACATTTATTAACCTAAACATCTCCTCTATAGTGGAACTGCAAGAAGAATATGATGCAATAAAGTCATTTTTATTTGAATTTATTTACTTAGTGATTATAATAGTCAAATTAATACGATGAATTACTTCTGTAACATTTATCACAGGACTTAGAATCCATAAGTAACAGAAAAACTATGCTGAGTCATACTGCTCTCTATATAATTTCACTTATAAATTTGCATATTTCTAGATTTGTATGTAAATCAGTATTTGGTCTACACATTGATGCTTCTAAGATTCCAAGTCACTTTTACTGTCTAGAAGAAAACATATGATAAAGTATATTTTACTTACACATCCATTCCACCAATAATTTTTTTCAATGTTCTATTATTTGACAGGGGCTTTTCCTGGCATGTAAGTTACTGTATTAATCAGTCTTCATGCTGCTGATGAAGATATACCCGAGACTGGGCAATTTACAAAAGAGAGAGTTTTAATTGGACTTACAGTTCCATGTGGCTGGGGAAGCCTCACAATCATGGCAGAAGGCAAGGAGGAGCAAGTCACATCTTACATGAATGGCAGCAGGGAAAGAGAGAACTTGTGCAGGGAAACTCCTCTTTTTAAAACCATCAGATCTCATGAGACTTATTCACTACCGTGAAAACAGCACAGGAAAGACTTGCCCCCATGATTCAGTTACCTCCCACCGGGTCCCTCCTACAACACATAGGAATTCAAGATGAGATTTGAGTGGGGACACAACTAAACCATATCAGTTATCAACTTCATGGTTTGTCCATGATTCTCCTAGTTTTAGCACTGAAATTTCTATGTTTCAGGAAACCTCTCAATCCTGGGCAAACTGAGGCACTTGATTAAGAGACATTTGATTCTTGCTTTATAAGGTTGTTCATGAGTTTCACTTCCAAAAAGCAAAATGGGTTTCCAGACAGAAAAGTACATGGATTTTGGAGTAAGGCTCAACAGGGTTTGATATGGTTTGGCTGTGTCCCCACTCAAATTTCATATTGAATTCTAACTCCCACAATTCCCATGTGTCATGGGAAGAACCCAGTGGGAGGTAACTGAATCATGAGGCCAGGTCTTTTCCATGCTGTTCTCATGATACCGAATAAGTCTCACGAGATCTGACGGAATTATAAGGGGGAGTTTCCCCACCCAATCTCTCTCTCTCTTTGCCTGCCGCCATCCACGTAAGATGTGAGTTGCTCTTCTGCCATGATTGTGAGGCTTCCCCAGCCATGTGGAACTGTAAGTTGTTAAAATTATTTCTTTTGTAAATTGCCCAGTCTCAGGTTTGTCTTTATCAGCAGCATGAAAACGGACTAATGCAGGGTTCAAATCTCTGAGCTCTTGCATTTCTTAGTTCTGTGACCTTAGACAATTAAATATCTCTCAGCTCTATGTTTTATATGCCCAATGAGATAATCAAGCTCATCTTTCAAGGTTGTTATAAGGATTGTTACATATGTAAGTAAAAAGCTAGTGTTGAACATATATGTTACTCAACGTATAAAAGTATTGCTATCAAAACTCAAAATATCAAAACAGCATAAAGCCTTTCAAAGATCTGATGTGGCAAAATGATGCAAATATTGAATATATCAGGACTTCTGAAAGGAGGAACTGATAAAGAAAATTATATAACATTTCATCTAGTCATGATGTCAGTGGTTTTATAATTCACTGGGCAGAACAGTAGAGAAAAAAAAGTCATATATATGTAAGTTTACAAAACAAAAGCAATTCTAAATACATTGATCCAAATAATCCTGAAGCTGAGTTCTGTGAAACCTCTGGACACAATTTTCTTTAAACCTTTGATTCTAAGTATCAAGAATGTGATACAGGAATTACAGCCAACTCAAAGTCATGGATTCTAAGCTTGTAGTCTCAGGTTATTTATTCTGTTCAATATCCTCTGTATTTATTTATGTTTCCTCTGGCCTTCAAACCTTCAGTTTCCTGTAAGGAAATTGTCACAACTAGGTTTTTGTATTCTACGCAGAGAGTTCATGTCCCACTGATTCTAGGTTTATTTTCTTTCTAAATCTCCCAACCTTTCTCCTCCTCGATACATCTAAAATCACCATGAATTTGCAGGAAAATACAGAGGCACAATAAATGGCAGAATTGGTAATGGAGCAGTTGAGCATTCATTACAAAGTCAGATGAGTTCTTTGTCATTTAAGGAGACAGGAGAAAGACTGACATTAAAATACAGTTCATTAAAAGTGAGTTTTAGCCTGGCCATTTACAGTGCCAAAACATCTGGAGAGTATTTTAATTTACGGAGGAGTGCTTTCAAAACCCTTTGAACTCCTAACTAAACACAAGGGAATTGGTAAATAAAAGGCTTTGGCTTTTGTACTGCAGTGACGTATCTATTCATTTTTCAGAACTCTGCCATCTAACAGCCTAAGTATCCTTCAACACTAACTCAGTTGTGCTCTTTTGAAGTGTTATTTTCTCCTTGTCCTTCCATTTTTACTCTAACATTTTGCTGGAATAGAAGCTAATGATTAAGCAAGTTAGAGTAAATTTTCCCCCACAGATTGTTCATCCTTATCTAAATAAAAAGGGTGGGAAACAGAGCTCAGTAGGGCACATCATGCACAGGTAAAAGTGAATCCAGCGCCAACCATAGCAGCAACAGCACTGTCCCTTCTTGTCCTTGCAAAGCTCAAGTATCTATAGAGCCACCACCAGCATTCACATTGCCCTTTCCCACATTTGAGTGGGAGCTGTTTATTTGCATAATGATTTAAAACATCTTTGGTCTTTATATTTTTTATTCATCCTAATATATTTTTGGAGAGTGAAGTGGCAGCTCTTTACAAAGGGAAGTGACTCTTACAATATGCTTTGGGGAGTGTGTGAGTCAATGGTCAGATAAATGCTGGTTCATAAGAAAAAAAAATCACTTAGGATCAAAGCTTAAGGACCAAAGGCTGTTTTAATACCTGATGACTAGTAATAAATAAACTCTTGATTTGTGTAATCTCTTTCTCGTTGCCAGGAAAAAACAAGACACCACAACCAGATCTTGCTAAGACATGTAGTCTCTAATTTCAAATTTTATTTAAATCATGAGGACTTTCCTGCTTTACCCATCCAGAAAAAAAAATCCTTTCTCTGTTTCCTCTCACTGTGTTACTCAAACATCTATTGACTAATTTCTATCTGCCTTGGATTCAAGCATATGCCTCCCTTCCCAACTCCAGATAGTTTACATATTTTTAAATGGCAGAGACTTTGACTATGCCTTCACTATATTTTCCAAATGCCAAGCCCAGCGCCTTATCCAGAACAGGTGTTCAACGAATGCATAAGATTAAGCATTCATTAAGATATAGATGCGATTAGTATATAGATGATTATCAGAGTTAGTCGAGTCTCATTCTTGTTTCATATTTTATGTAGAGTGCAATTTACATTATGATAGAAGAATAGTTTTAGTTGTGTATGCGTATGTCCCCCAACTTTTTTGTTTACAAAATACTGGAATTCATCATAATCCACTATCACTGATTCACTGTTCATCCATTCATTCATTTAACAAATACCTATTGCTACGCACTCATTTATATTCCAATCACTAGATGCCTTACTGTACCATGTCTTATAAAGGCAACAATGAGCAGACCCCAAATTTCAATACAGATCTGTCTGAAGCCTGGCATCTTTGTATTGTATCCTTTTTATTTCCCATGCCCCCTCTCTTATTCCTGAATTCCAAAACTAATACAAAAGAGCATATAATTTCATCCCCCAAATTCTTCAGAATGCAACAAAAATAACATAAAGGACATTTCTTTACATGCCACAAATGTATTAGGACACTGAACACAATTAACAGTAATTACTTAATCCCGTTTAATAAACAGTCCATATTTAACCTTCTCCAACTTTCTAGTTTGTTTTAATCAGGATACAAATAAGTACCACAGTTTTTATTTGGTTGCTACAGCTCTTAGATATCCTTTAATCTAAAACAACCTTTCTTCCTACCCCCTTTTTTCCACGTCATTCACTTGTTTGAAGAGCCAGGCCAGTTGTGCTGTAGAATGTCCTGCATCCCAGATTTGGCTCATTGCTTGCTCGTGATGTGGATAAACTTGTTCCTCCATTTATTTACTTTTGAACTCTCTCCAATCAGGCTTGTACACCGAAACACTCCATAGAAATTGCTTTTCTGAGGATCACCAATGACTCCATGTAATTAAATATAATGATTAATTTTGGGCCCTCATACTACTTGACATATTAGCAGCATTTGACTTCATCACTTTCTCT
Source organism: Homo sapiens (assembly GCF_000001405.40). NCBI lineage: Eukaryota > Metazoa > Chordata > Mammalia > Primates > Hominidae > Homo > Homo sapiens. Next base: position 165,230,713 of record NC_000005.10, on the reverse strand, counting down.
ACCTTTAACCTTTTTTTTTTTGTCTTTCCTAACCTTGAGCTGACTTCAGTATGTTAAACTCTACCTTGGGTCAAATTAGTTAGTTATATTTTGTAAGTGGCAACTGAAACCTATATTTATATACTTTTTACTTCTCCTTTGCTTCTGCTTCAAATTATTTCCTCTCTAGTTTCCTTTCAATGCTAAGAAAAACACACAATCTGTTTATAAAACATTTATAACCATAGCAATCAATATTACATTTTATTTGTATCTATATTCAGAGCTGATATTCACCCAGTGCACACCTGATATGAACAGATGTTTTATTTATCTTTGCCATCAATTCTTACTGTCTACTGCATGTACCATACCATTTGCAGTAGCACCCCCATGCCTCATACAAAGCCTCCTGAGCCGGCTGCCCAAGGGAAGACAAGATCATCCTCAATTCTCATTGCCAGTGTGGCAGCAAAGAATTAGGCATGATGGACTCCCCAAAGTATCTGGAAAACTAGATTCCGTTTGTCCTGTTGTATTATCTTTGAGGTCCTTTTGTTATAGATTTTGGATATTTTTAGCTTCCATTTGGGGGAGAATACTAGAGAAAAGAAACTCGGCCAAGGAAATAGAAAAGTGACAAAGCTAAATGAACAGCCCTCGCAAAATGCAGACTTGACATGTATTAATAGAGCTATACATTTTTATATATAAAATCTGGATATGAAAGCCCGAATCATGGTAGAGTTGTCCACTTAAACTTCTGCTATATTAAGGAAGTCTTTTGTGGAGATTTAAAGATATAGAATTTAGTTTGGAAAATAAGCATTAGAAAAAGTCCTTATGAGTTAGAGAGTTTTTATCTTTTAAGTAAATGAAGTGAAGTGTGGGTTAGAAATGGATTTTTCTATCTTTCCACTCTGCCATAGTGTAGATGCTTGAATTCTTTCTCATATCTGTCTCCTAGTTCCAAGATGTTGCTACAAATCCAGATATCATGGCCATGTTCACAGCAAGAATGAGAAAAAGGGGGCAGCTATATCTGTACTAATTTACGAGGAAAGTCACCCCACTTCCTCCAATAGACTTTCTTCTGAGCCTCACTAACCTCAACTGCGTCCCAAGATCACCACTAGTTGCAAAGGCGAATGTCAAAGCAGGAAAAATAATTCTCATGTTGGGTTATGTTAATCATTATCTATCTTCCTCCATAAACCAAAGCAGGGTACTCTAAGCAAGGCAGAAGGAGCAAATAGATCCTGAGTGGGCAAATAGTGGGATCTGCTACACAGCATATGTTAATAAAGGTGGCTGAATAGTTTATTATCTGAGCATTTTGGTTAACATAAACTTCCTTTGTTGCAATCTCACATACATTCAGAAAAGAGTTAACATTGTCTGTACATTCTAGACGAGCTCAGACAGTATAAACAACACTTGATTAATGCTTTTTAATGGCTAGGCTGGTGTTTATTTGCATGTTGGTATTATAAAATGTAAGAGCTTTTAAATTCAAAACCTGAGGCACTAAAGTGGGGCAAAAGACTTTGAACTTATTAAATGTTAAGTTTAATATTTTAGAAAATAATCATAGGAAACTCCATGGAATTACATATTGATATTTACTTAATATGATTTCACAGTGTGTATATATTATGAATAAATGGATATTTGCATAATATAATATTGTATTTAGGGTGTCATAGACACTGAGTTATCTTTTGCATTCATATTTTATTTTTATCACAGGCAATTTTTCATATTGCCCTATTATCATAGGAATACTTCCTACAGAGAAAATGTGTTTAAGCCATTATACTAAATGTATGGTAACTACCGCATCTTACATTATGCTTTGCTATATGATTTTTCTTATCTAGTAGGAAAACAAAGGATGAATTATGCCCACTTTACGTAATGTTTACTTTAAATTCTATATAGTGCAATGTATTTATTTCCTTAGATTGTGTTTGTTCCTCTTATTCTCAAGCCTAGTAAATATTTGCACTCATAGGCTGCCTGTAGCTTCCATATGCTCAACAAAGAATAGATAAAAGGATAGAAAAAGAACAAAATTTACCATCACCTTCCATGCAAATGCAAAGCACAGAAGAGATTCTGATTTATATTTCTATTATCTGAAATTAGGATTTCATTTCTGGCTTTTCAAACTTTCAAGGAACCACTATTTATCAAGGCAGAGTCATGGGGTTTCTTAAGCAGCTGTGTGGCTTTGAAACCGTATGAAGTCCAGCTGTGACTGCAGATCTAAGTGTTTTAGAATGAGAAAACTTTCTGAAGACCATTTCTACTACCTATCCTTGAATTCAGCAATTGGGTGAAACATTGGAGATGATGACTCAGCTTATTGCATTCATGCTTTGCAGGCAAAACTGATCTCTTTGAAAAATCATATAGGCTATAAGTGCCAGGTCTAATGATCATTTATAAATCAAACTTAGGAAGCCCTCTTTATTCATGGACATGAGATTAGATATTGTTATATTTATCACTTCCTTCTTCCACCTATCAGGGTAAACCTTGATACTATGAGAAAGGAAGATGAGCTCTGTGAGCTTATTGCTTTGATTCATGTATATAAATCCTTGTGAGGCTACAGAAAGGGATGGTAGTATGACGTTGGATAAGTAAGTATTACTACCTGCACTCCTCCAAGTACAAGCCATTTTTTCAGCAATGTTTCATTGGGGGAGGGTAAGCAATATGTCTGAAGTCAATTTGTCAAATGATCAATTCTCAGAAAGTGTAAGTATTCAAGCTAAAGAAAAATAATCTATGTTTAAGGGAAAGCTCATTCATTTATATAAAATGTCCAGAAATGAGGAAGTGCTAGGTGTTTAAAATTAAGTCATTCCATAAATTCAGTATCTGGAAAGTTGATTTTCCCTGAATTGGCTTTTATTTATTTAATTAATTTATTTATTTTCAGATGGAGTCTTGTTCTTTTGTCCAGCCTGGAGTACAGTGGCATGATCTCGGCTCACTGAGAACGCCACCTACTGGGTTCAACTTATTCTCATGCCTCAGAGTCCTGAGTAGCTGGGATTACAAGCTTGCACCACCAGGCATGGCTAATTTTCATATTTTTATCAGAGATGAGGTTTCACCATGTTGGCCAAGCTGGTCTCGAACTTCTGGCCTCAAGTGATCTGCCTGTCTCAGCCTCCCAAAGTGATGGGATTACAGGCATGAGCCACTGCGTGCCACCTGAATTGGCTTTTAAAGTATTGCTGGCTGAATATGATGGCATCAAAAACCACTACAGACTTTGAATTACACAATTCTTTTGGTTTGCATACAAAGCACTTCTTACAATAGTGCACATTTCTACAGCAGTGCACATGATACAATCAGATCAACAGCTGGCACTAAATTAGAGGAGAAGGTAGGAAGTCAAATTGAACTGGGTGGGAGGAAAGAGACATTTGCTTCCAGGATTTCCACAGGAGAATTATTGTGAATAATGAAAAAAGGTAGAGAAAAATGAAATGTCTGCATGGGACAAGGTTAAATAATACATAAAGTATAGACTTAGGTATTCATGTGATAATGAATATGTATCAACATGGAAAGATACTTACAATATTTTCTAGAATCTGAGAGCAGAAACTAAATAATTTTTGCTCACCATTGAATCTTGCACAGTGCCAGGTATAAGGGAAAAGAGATCAGACTACTAGAAAAATACAAAATCACAATTTCTATAAAAAAGAGGCTTTTGAAAAATGTCCTAAGGTTTTAACAATGCTAAGTCTTTTTAAAATTGCTTATCTACAATTCCTACGTTATGTCAATGAATGTGTTTTGAATTTAAAAGAAAAAATAAAATTAGACGAATGGAATTCCATTGCTCTGAAATTGTTTTCAAACCTCATATAGTTTGGTATTCTTGAATCTAGACTGCATATGTAACCCCTTTTGCCATGTGGCTAATATATTCCATTGCAATATAAAATAGAGATCTATCATCTATCATGACCTCTCAAACCCTGCTACTGATACCTAAGAAGAAGTATGGTGGGTTTTTTGTTTGTTGTGTTTTTTGTTCTTTTTTGAGACGGAGTCTCACTCTGTCGCCCAGGCTGGAGTGCAGCGGCGTGATCTCGGCCCCCTGCAAGCTCCGCCTCCCGGGTTCACGCCATTCTCCTGCCTTAGTCTGGACGGAGGCGCCTGCCACCATGCCCAGCTGTAGCTCTGCTACCACACCGACTGCAGCTGGGACTACAGGCGCCTGCCACCACACTGGGTAATTTTTTTTTTTTTTTTTTTTAGTTTTTTTTTTTTTATTTTTAGTAGAGACGGGGTTTCACCGTGTTAGCCAGGATGGTCTCGATCTCCTGACACCGTGATCCACCCGCCTCGGCCTCCTAAAGTGTTGGGATTACAGGCGTGAGCCACTGCGCCCGGCCGAGAAGCAGTATGTCTTATATAGCTTTCTGCTTAGGTCTATTGCGAAAGTGTGTATGCCAAGGTGATCCCAATTATATTCTGCTTTTAGGCATATATATTGCTATGCATTGGACATATGGAAAGGCCAATAGAATGCCTGTTGGACATTAGCTGAGTGGTGACTATCACAAGTTTAAAAAAAAATAAAAAAAACCCAAAAGATGTTTTCTATGAGTCCTTTTGGAGAGAAGGTGTAAATAAATATAAGCAGTTTTAGAAAATATTCCTGATTAAAGTTAACAGCCACTTAAAAGCTATCTTTAGCATACAGTCTTTGGAGGTTTATTAATAGTTAAGAATGCTTTCTTATATTGATGCTTTATCCAAATTCATACTTAGCTTCTAAACATGTCTGCGGATTTTCTAGGTAAAACTCAGTTTAATAGAAATGTTCATATGGAATGTTTTCTTTAGTTCCAAAGCATATTCTATCTTATTTTAATGAAATAGTAAAATATTTCCTCTCTTCCATCCCACTGCAATCCACTTCTCTGCACAAAGGGAGAATACTATATATTGCCACCTTTCCACTTATAGTGATTAGTAAAGGAAGGAATTTTGCTTAACAATCAAGTCTAGCTCAATGTACAGGAATGCTTAGTTTCCTCACAAAGGTTCTGCAGAATTTTTGGAAAAATAATATAAGTAGAAGCAACAGATAGATGTCTCTATTAGAAAATGTACCGAAAAATCTTCAGGTCTCAGAGAGTGAAAAAGCAAGAATTGATGATGCCTTGCATAATAACGCAAAGACTTACATCCATTGCCGATAGGAAATTAAGCTTGGAGTGACAAAGTGCGCTCTCCATTTTCAGCCTAAAACAGTTATTTTAGACTAATAAAAATGAACTATGAAAAATAAGCTGAGCATTTGGGGTCTTCATGAATGCCTCTGTGAGTGAAAGAATCAATTCTAGGGCAATACCAATCCTTGAAGGAAGGAAGTGAAGACTTGCATGCTGAAGGATTGAAGGTAAAGGACCAAATTACTCTTCTCATTAGCACTATCTTTTCCCCTAGCTTGTTTTATTTTCTTCATGGTATTCACCACCACAGAAAATAATGTTCTTTGCTTATTTCTTGTTAATTATTTGTTCCTTCTCCCCCTCAGAATGTAAGCTGCAGGAGAACAGAAGTTATGTCTACTTTGATTACTGACACATCTCATCATTCTAAGGGTGCCTGGAACAGGGTAGTTAGTTGCTCGATAAACATTTATTCAAAGGCATGAATGACTGATATTATGAGAAACTGAGGAATGGACAGAGAGCTGAGGTTAAGAGAGCTGAGGTCAGCATCATCGTTCACCTCTTGGAAATATGATAGTGTAGGACTGCCAAACTGTGAGAATTAGCAGGAAGAGTACAGCAGTTGGGAGTAGGAGATATAATGAAGCAGCTGCGGTTTTGGCAGCCTCAGATACAGATGAGAGAAACTACTCTAGAGGAAGATGACTTATGGAAAAGAGAAAATGGATTCTTGATTTACTTTGAGAAGAGATGAGCTGCTCAACTTACCATAAATTCTCATAGGACCTAACTTTTAATTTCTGAGTTCTAAAGAAAGGTTAACCAATCTATATTTCCTGAACTGTGTCTAAGCTATGTTTTCATTGCATGGCAATTGTAGATTGCAAAGTACATCTGTATAATCCTAAGCATTTCTTGGCTTGCAGTCTGGAAAATGTCAGTGGCTTATATCTCATGGGAAATGCCATAAACATTTTAATTAGATGCCATTCTGTCTCACTGTCTTATTTCTGGAGGAACATGGCTCCTGTTACATCCCTCCTCCTGAGAGATCCGGATAGAATGTCAAAAGTATAGGGCCATCCTATCTTGCTCACCACAGGGAATATGTGTGTATGCACATATATTTGTACAGTGTATATGTTTGTGTGTGTGCATTTGTGTGTGCACATTTCCTGATTTAGGCTAATAATTCAGATGTAATGAGGAGTTGAAAGAATGTCATGATTTGTTAGCAAGTAGGAATCCAGGTGGTCCTCAAGTTCTAAACCTTAGACAATAAAAAAGATCCAGAAAGCAGTAAGTCTTTTTTCATTAAGCGGTGTTCTGAATAATAGTTACTCATTAGAGACCAGAAGACTAAATGAAGGATAAGGAATCATCTGTTAATCACACACAGGCAGAGAGGCATCAAAGTGACAAGGCCTGAGAAAGAACAATGTGAACTGTTAAAAGTACCGGAAGATCTTTTTCTGTTTCAAATAACTCAGACATTGAGAAGTAGTGCATCATATTGTACTTTGATTATAAAAGAGACCAAAAACAAATATTGGTTTACAGCTATAAGTAATATAATAAAATCTAAGCACTTTAGGCCAGGCGTGGTGGCTCATGCCTGTAATCCCAGCACTTTGGGAGGCCGAGGCGGGCAGATCACAAGATCAGGAGATCGAGACCATCCTGGCTAACACGGTGAAAACCCATCTCTACTAAAAAATAAAAAATAAAAATTAGCCAGGTGTGGTGGCGGGCGCCTGTAGTCCCAGCTACTCGGGAGCCTGAGGCAGGAGAATGGCGTGAACCCTGGGAGGTGGAGCTTGCAGTGAGCTGAGATGGTGCCACTGCACTCCAGCCTCGGCATCTGAGCAAGACTCTGTCTCAAAAAATAAATAAATAAAATAAAAATAAAATTTAAGAACTTTAGGCTTCTTATGAAATTACCTCCAAGCAACCCATCACCAACAAATGTGAGTCTGATAAGCTTCCAGGAAAATATAGGATGATTTCTGCTTATAGTAACATGGCACTACTGACCCATCATGAGTATTTGTGAGAAATAGAGAAATATATTTGAGTGTTTTATGCATGCTCTTTTATATGTTCTGTTTGTTTGTTTGTTTGTTTAACCTATGCCAAATATATCCAACATAGTTCACCATCAGTAGCACTCACGATAATGGAATAGAATGACTCGAACTGCCTAGTTGACATCTCCAATTGGGTGCATAATTGGTGTATCAAACGTAGCACATCCAAAGGATCAAAAACCCCTCTACATTCAGCTCTAATTCTTGCTTTTTCCCCATCTTTTTCATATCAGTAAATGTCACTGTTGCCTGTCCAGTTGTTGAAGGTAAAAATGTCAGCACCATCCTTATCGCTTTGCTTTCCTCTTTCCCCATATGTAATCCATTGACAAATTATTGTGCCCCACCTTGAAAATGCTTTTTCTCTATGCAACTTGTATTCAATGTTTAAACCACCAACATACATCTTAAATTCCTACGATTCATTCTCCATACAGCAGTACAAGTGATCTTTTTGTAATATACATATTATATCTATGTCCTGATTAAATTCTTTAGAAATTTCTTGTTATTAGAATGAAATCCAAACACCCTCTATTTATGATCTTGCTCCTGTCTATGATCCCCAACTGCACTCCCTTCCTTCAATTTCCATCACTCACTCTTCTCTGGTCACCTTTTTAAATTCTGTTTTTTTTTAGCAGGCCAAAATATGGAGGTTCCTGAACAGGGTCTCTCTCACTTAATGCAAGACTAAGTACAGATATCTGAGGACTGTAAAGAATAAATGGTAGGAGGTAGATTGGAAAAAAAGATGGTAATTCAAGGTATCACTAAACTGGTGGTGAAATTGCCATTTTTCCCCTCTCCTGTATTTCCTGGCCTAGAAACAAAGGCAGCATAAAATTGCAGGCTGGATGAAGGCAGAAAGAGCTCCAGGAGCTTCATGAAATAGGAAACGGGACTTCTCAAACAGAGAGTGGGAGAAATCTTGGTGGCTATTTTTCTTTCTTTTTTCCATTATCTCCTGTACTCTAGCCCTGAGAGAATTCTATAGCTGAAGCATTAATAATGGTAGTTCAACAGACACCTAAAAGTAGGAGAGGGAACATTTCTTTTTCCTTTTTTTTTAATTTTCTTATGTTTATTTTATAGAGATCAGGACTTACTATGTTGCCCAGGCTGGTCTTGAACTCCTTGGCTCAAGCAATCCTCTCAACTGTACTTCCAAAAGTGCTGGGATTACAGGTGTTAGCCACCATGCCCAGCCATGTCTCTGATTATTATTGGAAATAGTGATGCCTACATTTCATAGGATTGAAAAGGGAATTGAAGGAAAAATGCAAATAAAGTGATCTCATGGTTTGAATGTTTGTTCCCTTTGAAATTCATGTTTAAACTTAATCCCCAATGTGACAGTATTGACAGCACCCAGTCTAACTTTTTTTTTTTTTTTTTTTTTTAACAGAAGAGTCATGATCCTAAGAACAGAAGGGAGATCCCTGTTGCTTTGACTTCTTGCTGTCCTCCTGCTATTTGGCTCAAAATGCAAACTCAGTTATGAGAAGTACATAGAAGAACAGGTAAACTAAAGCCTGGGCTTTTTCACCAGAGGATGTGGAAAAGAGGCTTCAGGAAATTGAGAAGTATTATGGAGATTGCAAAAATGAGGGAGCTGAAGAAAGAGTTAGAATGACAGTGAATGTGAGAAGAGAGAGAGATGAATACCACGAAGTTGCGTATGTACTGCTGGACTATACCCTGAACTGAGCATGTAAACATCTGACCACAGATGGTATAATAAGGCTTTGAAAACTAAGCTACAATAAAGACCATCACCCAGGCCAAAAATTGCTACTTGGAAATGCACACACAGACTGATCCAAATAGCATTGAAAACACTTAAAGAAATGGTGCAGACATTGGAGTCACAATCCAAAGAAGGCAGATCAGAGTTTGTTCCATAAGCCTGAATAGGTTGATTGCTTAATATAAGAAGAAAATCAACCTTTTTCTTATGATTTAAGACATAATCAGAGTCTCATAACATATTCTCAAAATGCCCAGGATATAATTTAAAATTATTTGGCATATGAGAAACCAGTGTGATCGTCTCTTAACTCTTAAAGAAAAAGACAATTAAAAATATCACAATCAAAATGACAGGAATGTTGTATTTATCAGATAAAGACATTAAAGAGATATTATAACCATGCTCTAACAGGCAAATGAAAAGACTCATAATGAATAGAAAAATAGAAGGTCTCAGCAAAGAGAAAGAATATATGAAGATGAAAAATGGAAATTTTAGAACTGGACAATGTGACAGTCCAAAGAGAAAATTCACTGGATGGACTAAATAGGATAATGGAGATAACAGAGGAAAAGAGGCAGATGACTTGAATACCGATCATGAGAAATTAACTATTTCAAAGAAGAGAGTAAAAAGAGACTTAAAAATAAAATGAACAGAGCCTCTGAGTCCTGTGAAACAATGTCAAAAAGCCTAATATTGGTGTCATCTGAACCACAGAAGGAGGAAGAAAGTATGAGAAAAAATATCTAAAGAAAAATAGCCAGAAACTTCCTTAATTTGGCGAAAGATAAAATCTTAAAGATGCCTGAGGAGGCTCAGGAAACTCTAAGGAGAAGAAGCTACAAAAAATCTACACTCTAAAACTTCTGAAATTAAAAAACAAAGAAAAAATTTTTGAATGCACCCAGAAACTCAATACAAATGGAGAATTCTGATTTGAATACTGTATATTTTATATAAGGAAACATGGTAGTTAAGGGGAAGTGGAACAACATTTTTTAAGTGATGCAAAAAATGATTCTATATTCAGAAATCTTTATCCAGTAAAAATATTCTTGATAAATGAAAATCAAATAAAGATATTCCTGATGAAACTAAACTAAGAGCATTTGCTGTCAGTAAGAAACCTGTAACACCAGGAATAAAGGAAGAGTAACAGATTTGGTAAAATATAAGAGACTATTCTTCTCTCCTTCAGTTCTTTAAAATATGCACAATGATTAAAAACATAAATTATAACAAAATATACAACATAAAAGGAGAATAAATGTACCTATATTTTGATGATTTTCTGCTTACCCTTTAAAGTGATAAAATATTGACTCTAAATAGAATGTAAAAAAGTAAGTATATGTGTCATAATCCCTACAGGGAAACGACCAAAAATACTATACAAAGTGATATCTTCAAAAACTCAATGATAAATTAAAATAGAATACTGAAAAAGAAAAAAAAAAGCATTTACCTAATCCCAAAGAAGGCAGCAAAGGGGAGACAAAAAAATGAAAAAGAAAAATTAGAAAACCAGCAGTAAAATGGTAGATCTAAATTTAAACATGCTGATAATTCTATTAAATTTGAATGTTTTAAACTCATCACTTGAAATACAGAGATTGTCAAGATATCTTTAATTTTTTAAGAAAACAACCCATATCTATCTACAACAACCCTAGTTTATATATAATTAGAGTAAAAGTAAATGGATGGCAAAAATGGTATACAACAACTAATCAAAAGAAAACTGTAGTAGCTATATGTTAACATCAGACAAAGTAGACTTCAGAACAAGAAATATTACCTGTGATATAAGATGGATATTATATAATAATAAAAATCTTCAATTCACCAAGAAAATAGAGTTTCAGAATACATAAAGGAAAAACTGATAGAACCAAAGATGTGAAAAGATCCATTATTATGTCTTGAGACTTCAATAGTCTTTTTATAGTAACCGATAGAAAAAAACTAAAAGGAAAATCATCAAAGATACAGAATAATTGAATACCACCATCAGCCAAATGTATGTAATTGACACTTATACAGCACCCAACAGCGGCAAAGCACACATTCTTTACAGTGTACATAGAACGTTCATAAAAATAGACAATACTATTCATTGTGATTTAAAGAAAACACAAGAACTGAAATCAAAGAAAGTATTATGTTCTTTAACCACATTAGAATTAGACATCTCCAGATCATTCTGATTTTACAGCTTCAAAACTTATTTGTTCACCCAGGGAGCTGACTTTTCGTTTACCTTTAAGTCTCAGCTTAAACACTACCTTTTAGAAGAGATTCTCTTTAGTTTTTTTGTTTTTTTTTTTTGTTTTTTTGAGGTTTTTTTTTTTGAGATGGAGTCTCGCTCTGTGCCCAGGCTGGAGTGCAGTGGTGCGATCTCGGCTCACTGCAAGCTCCGCCTCCTGGGTTCACACCATTCTCCTGCCTCAGGCTCCCGAGTAGCTGGGACTACAGGCGCCCGCCACCACGCCCAGCTAATTGTTTTGTATTTTTAGTAGAGATGGGGTTTCACCGTGTTAGCCAGGATGGTCTCGATCTCCTGACCTGGTGATCAGCCCGCCTCGTCCTCCCAAAGTGCTGGGATTACAGGCATGAGCTACCACGCCTGGCCCAGAAGAGGTTCTCTTTAACCGTACCTCCCTAAATTGACTCTATCATTTACTCTATTACTTTGTTAAACCAAGTTTAGCCTACAGCTGCCTCTTTACATATTTTAAGTTCAAACTAAAGGTTTTCTTTGTATAACTATATAGTGAACTCTAACCTAAATGGAGGTGTAAACAAACTGTAACCTACTTTTGTGCCAATTACCAAGTTTTGGACAATCAAAGGGAGCCATCTGTTCAAACCATGTTCAAATAAGGCAAAAACACTAAGCTGAAGTGAGGCTGTTTCTGTTCCTCACTTCCAGTTTCTTTATGTCACTTTCCTTATCCTGTCCTTTGTAGCTGCGCAAAGTCTCTGTCAACCAACTCTGGCTGGGGAGGCTGTCTGAAATGCAAATCCTTCTTTGCTCAGTTAAATTCTATTACATTTAATTTGGCTAAAGATTTTCTTTTAACATTTCCTTCAGAGCACTTTTCATAAGCTACAATTAATCAGTTTATTTATTTATTGCTTTTGTATGTTTTCTTTCACTTAGCGGTATGTGAGCTCCAGGGAAAAAGGTGTCCAGCTCAGGGTCTCAGCTCTTCACACATTTCCTAGCAAACTATATGCTCTTAATACATAATTATTGAATAATTAAATGATGGATTAACTCACATATATGACCTCTACCTTAGTAATAGTTCTACTCTATGATGTAAGTATTACACAAGATAAGGTAAAGAAAGCATATACCATAGTGCTTGTAAGAGAGGAGAGCACCCCTTATATTGTCTTATGCCCAATTTCTGCCTCCAAAGAAAGAAGAAGTAAAAACTAAAAGGCAGAAATGAAATCCACAGGCAGACAGCCCAGCGCCACGCCCTGGGCCTGGTAGATAAAGATCGACCCCTGACCTAATCAGTTATGTTATCTATAGATTACAGACATTGTATAGAAAAGCACTGTGAAAATCCCTGTCCTGTTCTATTCCGACCTGATTACCGGTGCATGCAGCCCCCAGTCACCTACCCACTGCTTGCTCAATCGATCACGACCCTGTCACGTGGACCCTCTTAAAGTTGTGAGCCCTTAAAAGGGACAGGAATTGCTCACTCAGGGAGCTCCGTTGTTGGAGACGTGAGTCTTGCTGAAGCTCCCAGCTGAATAAAGCCCTTCCTTCTTTAACTCGGTGTCTGAGGGGTTTTGTCTGTGGCTTGTCCTGCTACACTTCTAATAGAGCAGTGTATGATATATATTAGGAGTTGATATTGTTATTATTACTTAGCATCCAGAACAATGTAAATTGTCAGTTAGTGCCTTTTTACGTAAGCCATGCATTAATCTATTGCCTAGTATCTGGTTCCAGCTCAATTCCATGTAGTACTTTTTTTCAAAGACTGCTGTACCATGAAAGAAGACAGACAGCAAATGGGAGAGGCAAACAAAATCACTGTCTTTCTACTGCGTCAAGCCATGTAGTTATGCTATTCATATGCTTTCAGTAATCATTTATTAGCAACGCAAGCCTAGCAGATTCTGGTATTTCAGTAGTATGGCATTATTACTACAAGTAAACATGGTAGTACCAACTACTCTTCAAGCATACATCTTATGATTTTTTCCATCTAAGGAATGTAGATGTGAATACAATGTGAAAGGACAAGTTTAAGTAAAAGATTGTGAACATTGTAGAAATTTCCAATAGTCAAATGTATCAAGATATCATTTAACTAAAAAATGAATAAAACTGTTTTGTTGCTGAAATTCAGTTTTGATTTTATAGTTTAACTGAATTTCCTAAACCCTATACTTAAATGTCCTGGACTGCTTGGCTAATGCATACCCAATTATAACCATATTAGTCTTTTTTTCCAAGTTCTACGTGTCAGAAAGACTTTAAGAGAGGATTTTTATTGAGTAGAACATAAATCATATTCACAGTTTCCATTCAGAATTTTTTTTAGCGTTTGATACGGGAAATTTAAAAATCACCTATGCACATTCATGTTAAAATTCCTAACTCATAATCCACAATATGTTAAGTAATCCAGTATTTTTAACAAGAGAGATGGGAAAGATTTAAACAAAAACGTTAAGGTTTGTTATGAGGAATTATAGGTAAATTTTACTTTTTAAGTTTTTGAGTTGCACAATATTTTCTACAATGTATATACTTTTTTAAAAAAACATAAACAACATTCAAAATTATAATAAGAAACTGTGGAGGGGCTTCTGTTTCCTATTAAGAGTAAAAATAAGATAAGCTCCTAGTTCTCTCTTCAAAGTAAACTTTGAGGAATCTACGAAAGCAAGAAAGGAATATAAGTATAGGAATTAACAACTAAAGCAATATAAAATTAAAAATATTAAAAACAAACAAATGTAAACAAATACAAGAAATCTCTAGATAGAAAATTGGATCTTGAGCTAAAGGAGAGATTTAAGTCAATAATTCCTCAAGTGTGGTCTCCAGACCAGCAGTATCAACTTCAGAGGGGCATGTGTTAGAAATGCAAATTTTATAACCCAGAAACTCTGAGGGTGGGGCCCAGCAACCTGTTTGACAAGCCCTCCCAGTGATTCTGATGTACATTCAAGTTTAAAAATCCTTGCTTTAAGGAAGGCTCTTAAATTCTCTTTTCAGTACTAGGATAAGTCATCAACTGTTCTTTGCTAGAGAGATCTATAGTAGTATCTACTTCAGGTGTTAACCTTCCCCAAGCAGGTTAACAGCCCTGCTTATTTAAGGTGTAGGATCCCATTGGGATGACTAGGAGCATCCACTTCTCCTCCTGCTTCACTCTGTTTCCTCAGATATGGCGAATTGCAATCTAAGGAGATGGCCTTCCCCCAAAGCTTCTTATTTCTGAGAATTTAAAGGAGAATTCCTCACCAGATATATTGGCTGGTGGATAAAAAAGGTAGCAATAGGGAATGGTCAGCAGGGGTTCTGTGGTACCTGGGGTCTCTCTTTCCTTGTGTTCCATCGTTGTCCCTCTTCCTAAGATGAATAGGCAAGTACAGCCAAACTAGTCTTCTAATGTTCTAGTCTTCTAATCTTCCCTCATATTAACCATGTACCTAGCTGACATATCCTCCCCCAATCCTAACCTAAAAGAGAAGGACAATCATTACAAACAATGCTAACCAATATTGGCTGACCAACAGAATTGAGCTGCTTCAAAAAATCCTAAGACAATAGCAGCAGCATTACAGACCTATTTTGTAAATATCGCAGCAATGGTACCCAGACTTCAGCGTTTAAAGCTCCCCTGGTCATTGCAATGTGAAGTTAAGGGCAAGAATTTTTCATATAAAAGATGACAAACCAAATAATAAAATCCTACTGAAACAGAATTAGTGGAATGGAACAAATATTAGAAAATAAGCATAAAATAATAATATAAATTAGGAATTATAATACCAATGTGGAGGAAAAATAGAAACTTATTAAAATACAAATCATAGCTTTAGAATCTAGTAGTTGAATTAAAACACCCATAGATAAGATACCATCACCCAAAATATAGAGCTGATGAATAAATTAGATAGTTGGAAGATCATGTTAATAAAACTTAAAAAATACAGGAAATAGCAAAGAGATCAAAGATATAAAAGCAAGTTAAAGGGATATGGAGTTTACAAATAGAAATGCTGGCCAGGCATGGTGGCTCATGCCTGTAATGCCAGCACTTTGGGAGGCCGAGGCAGGTGGATCACGAGGTCAGGAGATGGCGATCGTCCTGGTCAACATGGTGAAACCTCGCCAATGCTAGAAATATAAAAATTAGCTGGGTGTGGTGGTGCATGCCTGTAATCCCAGCTACTTGGGAGGCTGAGGCTGAGGCTGGAGAATCACTTGAACCAGGGCGTCGGAGATTGCAGTGAGCCAAGATCACACCACTGCACTCCAGCCTGGCAACAGGGTGAGACTCCATCTCAAAAAAAAAAAAAAAAAAAAAAAATAGGAACACTGGGTAGAAGCCCAAGAAGAAGAAAGCAAGCCAGAGTACAAAAGAGCCAGAGAAATAGTGGGAGGAGCAGGGCTAGGAGGAAAGAGATTGAGAGAGAGAGAGAGAAGGGCTTGAAAAAAATTCCTACTTGTTACGCACTAAGTGTTTCTGTCTCCCCAGAATTCATGTGTTGAAGGCCTAAATCCCAGTGTAGCTGAGTTTGGAGATGGAACCTTTAAGGAAGCAATCAAGGTGAAATGAGGTCTTAAGGCTATGGCCCAAATCTGATACGATGGGTATCCTTATAAGGAGAGAGGCCAGAAAACTCGTTCTCTCTTTCTCTACATGCACATGCACTCAGGGAAATCCATGGGAAGACACAGCCAGAAGGCAGCAGTCTACAAGCCAGGAGGAGAGCCCTTACCACACAGTGAGTTGATTGCTACCTTGGTCTTGAACTTCTGGCCTCCAGAACTGTGAGAAAATTTATTTTTGTTGTGAAAGCCACCCAGTCTGTCATATTTTCTTTTTATAGCCTCAGCAGACTAATACATTAGTATAACAGAAAAATTACAGACCTCAGATACAAACCATTGATAAAGTGCTGATCATATATAATATGTAATTGTAACATTTAAGAACACCAAAGACAAAAAGATAATTCTAAAAACTCTTGTACGGAAAGAGAAGACCACCTGATTGGCATAAAAAATTTTAATATGAAAAAAAGTGAGAAACATTTTTAAGTATTAAAGAAAAAACACTTTATAGATATTGATCATCTAATAAGTCAATAGAGGTAAGTATATGTGGAAATTTGCATAAAGGAAAACTACAAGAACAGGCGTAGTTTTTTAATAACTTCTAAATCAAGAGATGATAAATCCAGCTAATATAGAGCAGAAATGAATAAAAAGTATAATAAATGGAAATATAAAATGAGGAATAATCTTACTGGTTATAATTAGTTTGTGAGAAAAGGCATTACATTTACAAACAGTTAAGGTCTAAATAACAGAGAATACAATAGGTGTTTTGAATTCAACCAGGCTAAGATAGTGGGACATGACCACATGAAAAATTACATGGAATAATATTTTCCCTTACATAGCAATACAATACTAACCCAATCAAGTATTTTCTGCTTCTGTTCACTAAAGATCCAGTGAGATGAAGACATTTTATAACGTACAATTAGCAATTAGCTTATAGTAATAGTAGGCTGTCACTTTCTGGAAAACCTCTATTCAGCTACTGCATTATCTTAAGGCTATTCATGTTAGAATTTTTATAGGTTATGTGTTTTAAAAAGATGTATAATCATGTATCCCTAGCCTGTTAAGCTACTTAGTGTCAAAAGCTAACATAAACCTTTATTCATTCATAAATCCAAGACATACTTAATGTTTCAGTCATGTACTAGGAATATAGGTGTGAATAAGACAGACAAGCTCCCTCATCTGACGGTGATGACAAATAAAATTTGATGTCAATTGTGTTTCATAATAACTAAGAATTACCATTTAATCTTAGTCTGTTTATCAAAAACACACCTGTGTTTTCATTGATAAAGTGTAGGAGGTATGTGTGTGTATGTGCACATGTGTGCTGGGGTGTTAATTTTGATGGTGCTATGAATTGAATATCTGGTTATATTACACGTCCTTCTCACACTGTCTGCAAGTTTATGGCCAAATTTGTGGTCCAATTTTAGATGGAATCTTTTTCTTTATCACATGTAATTTGTATACTAAAATCACCTATGTCTGCCTTATGTTTTCATGGTTCTCATTTATTTTAAACTTATTTCATCTATTATGTTAATCTTTACATGTAAACTAAAATCCAATTCAGGAGGAAGTATTATATAAATAATTAAAATATTAAAAAAACAAAAAAGCAATGCTATTAAACACAAATTGTAAATCTAGGGTAAATTTTGGATTGGTCAAATACTTAGATGTAAAAGTGAAACTATAAAAATATAGGATGCATTTATGATGTTTAAATAATTTTAGAGTACAGGTATACTTTCTACGATGTCTGAAATCCAAGCAATTAAAAACAAATGTAACCATTTACTCTCAGAAGAATAAAGAAGGTTCTATGTGAGGGCAAAAACCCGCCACATAAGACTCAATAAACTTTGAAATTCAGAGGTTAAAATTTAACAAACTAATAAGAAAATGTGTAAAGGATATGAACAAACAGTATGTAAAAGATGAAATACAAATGGGTTTAAAGCATGAGAAAAAACTGTTCAATCTCATTGCTGAGAAGAGATGGACATTTAGCACCAGAATGAAATACTCTTTTTTTCACCTATCAAATTGGTAGTTAGTAAAATGTTGCTGATATACTGTGTTGAAAAGAGACAATAAAGGCACTTGCATATTGCTTGTGGGAGTGTCAAGTTATCCAGTCTCTCTGGAGGGTGACCTGGTGTTTAGTAGCAAAGTGAGATGCACAAAATTTTGGATCTAGCCCTTTCACTCCAAGAATTTATTCTACAGATATTATCACACACATGCTACTGTTGAATAGGCAAATGTGTACACTGAAATATTGCAAAAGCAATCAATAACATGGATTATGTTCTAGAGTGGTATAGTGTGTCACTGTTAAAAATAGGGACACAAAATTGTGTTCTAATATAAAAAGATATTATAAAATATTTTAAAAAGTAACAGTCATATGAATTTCTAGAGTATTTTATCTTTTGTATGGTTGGGGAAGGGGAGCAGGAGGAGGAGTTTCTGATAAATATTCATATTTGTTTGTGAGTACATTGTCTCTGAGAGGAAATACCAAATGCTGCAAGCAGGATTTGCCTCTGGGGAAGGTAGCTGAGTGGCCAGTGTAAAGAAGGAGGTTTATTTTTGACTATGTATATATTTTCTATCTTTTAGATTGTGTATCAATGGCATGTATCACCCATTCCCCTCTCTGGCCTCAAAAAAAAAAAAAAAAAAGCGAGTATTACTCGTATGGCAAAAACAAGATGGCAGGAAGCTCAACCATGGCTATACAATCAGAATTACCATGGACCTTCTAAAAATAGGTTTATCAAAGTTTTACCCTAGAACAATTAAATCAGAGTATCTGGGTGGGGGGTTAATTTTATAAATATACACACACAAATATATGTGTATATATATGTATACATATATGCATAGAATATTCAATACATATTTAAAAATGCTAATTATATATAATTAAATGTTATACATATAAAACACACACACACACACACACACACACACACACATTTAAAGCTACCCTGGTGAGTCGAATATGTAAGCTGAGTTGAAAACCACCAGAATGGAATAATCAGTGAATCCTTCTTGGAGAAGACAGGACTCACTCTGAACTTGAAAGCTGGGTCATCCCTAGAAAGATGAATATAGACTGACTGAAATTTAGATTGCACTTATACATCTTGAGGCATCCAGCTAAATGAAATAAAAGCAGATGGATACTAAACAGGCCTGCTAAAAGAAAAAAGAGAGAAATAAACAAAAGCAGGATAAGACAGCTAGAAGAGGAGAGATAGGAGATTTACACGTGACTGATGATTCTTTGAGTAAAGAAATACAAGACATTTGTGATATTTATTATAATCATTAATGTAGGATTATTTGATACTTTAGGTGGCATGATAGTTAAGATAAATATCTCATTACTTATTTAAAACTATTGATAAATTTCAATACATACACGAACATACTTCTAAGCACTATTGACTGCATGCTACATCAACATACTTTTTGCAAAATGCTGCAGAAACTCTGACCACTGTCAAACTAACAAAATCTCACTGATATGTTTTTTTCCAGACTGGAAAAGATGACACTTTGCCAGGCAGGGGCTATATTTTTCAGCACAGAGTAAAACCAAAGGTGATGGAAGGGTACTACACTTAGTCTTAAGGTTGCAGATACACACCAAGTGTTTGACATATTGTATCACTGAATATTTTTTACTGAACTTTAATGTTGTTCCTTTAGGACGATTTTGACAGTCAGTAAAATTCAAGCCTATGGATAGATGTTAAAAGTAAATTTTTTCCTCCTATCCTTAGGTACATATATGAACCATTTTCAATTCGTATATTTAAAAGACTTCTGAAATCTGCCTGTGGCTATGCCCTGGAACACCTAGACAAATTTTTAGGTGAGAAATTCTATGAATCTGTTTACTGTAATTCCCTTCTGTGGGCAAGAAGTGGTATTGAAATCATGCCACTGTATAACTAATTTATGCCTCAATGATAAATTTGACTGCCTGAAAAAGTCAAGTTATTTAACTTTATTATGTATTTGAGGGAGAAAGTATTTTCCAAAATGCTCAGAGTAGAACTTGGCAGTATTATAGTCACATTTGGTCTTCAAAATATTCACCTATGACACTTGCAGGCAAAATGGTTATCACTCGGGAGAATAAAGTAGAATGACGAGCTTTTAAAGTAATGCTTACTGTGTCAGGCTGGAAGGGACTCATCCTTCTCTAAAGAACTCATCTTCTCTAAAGAGAAGAGATGGCCTAAAAGGTCAAAGCAGTTTCTATGTGCCTTGAAGTGCAGGGTTACAAGTGGACAGACATACACTTCAAGGACCCTCTGAGACGTTAATGTCCTATAATACTGATGTCACCTGCAGAAAGACAGTCCTAGGGGCTGTGCTGGAGACAGAAATCAAGTGATACAAGGTAAGACTTCTTTTCAGTAGAAAAGTGAAGATACGGTTTGCAATAATTAATATCTCGTACTGGTTCAGACTCATTCATTGCTATCGGAGCATGAGTGGCCATAAATATTAGTTGCATAAATTCAGTGAAGGCATCTGTCCATAATGAATGGGATCTGTCCTAAAGTGATCCAGAAGATATAAGAGCAACGCAGAGAATAGATTTCTCTGTGGCCTCTCCTAGAAGAACTTTGAGTGTCAGAACAGGTGAAAGGCAAAAACCTTCCTCTGGAAAAAAAAAAGTGCTCCTTGTCAAAATTTATTCTCTTCTGAAATAGCCAGAGAGAATATTACCTAACAGTTTTACAATCCCCTGGATTGTAACAAACCTATGACTTTTAAAAACTGTTGCTTGCTTTTTTAAAGTCCTGTCATTGATTTTATTTCAAAATTGTATTCTTTTATAATCACCACCATTTTAGAAAATGTGTTTAATCAAAAAGTCTACTCTAAGTGTCAGGACAAATTTTATAATCATGTTGTGCTCACCCCACCCCTCACTTCCCTGCACACACACACACACACACACACACACACACACACATTTTTAGCATAGTGATACAAACTCTTCCAGGGTAAACTATCAGATAACAGAGGTTGTCAGTATTCTTTAAGATAGCCTTTTGAGAATGTAGTCATTTTAGTTATCTTAGTTTAAGATAAATCTGCCATGAGATTATTCATTTTTCACAAAGTTATTTCTACCATGAATCTCCTGCTTCATCTGAAAAAAAAAATCTATGGTCATGTGTTTCAACACCAAGAAATACACCTATTTCTGTATGAGGACAGGCATTACTATTCTTGTGGTCATCATGAGAGTCATAATCCATTCACCCACAACACTTTTCAAAAATAGCTTCTGCAAATCATCAGTTCATGCTAATTCATGTGGTTTTCTGAAATATTTATTCCTGTTACTCCAATAACATGTTACATAGGTTATGTGTTTGTATTGATAAAAATAACAAAATAGTAAGTTTTTTGTATTTGCTATCTTCCTGGGGAATTCATTTAGGAATGGGCAAGCAGGAAAACAAACACCACTAGATGTCGCTATAAACAGACCATTTTTTTTTTCTGATAGATTTATTTTCTTGCATTTCCAGATTTACCAGACTGGGGGAAATTCTTTCTGGCAGTATTGATTCCATCTAATCTCTGGTTTGTTTAGTCAAAGGTTATGAACTGCTAAATTTACATTCTTTCTTGTGTCCCTTTGCACATCTGCAAAACAGTTTTTGTTAAGGAAAAATCACAGCACAGGGATTTTAAAATTGTCACCATTTTATTAATTAGGTGAGGGTGTCATGCTGAGTCAGTCAGTTTGTTATTTCTTAAGGAAGATCTTGTAGTGAGTTTGTCTCTCATTAGAGAACTGGAGGACCAGACAGATTAATGCACATGTGCTACGACATTAATTAGAGAATCAGATTGTTCACAGAATAGATAATTTGATAGTGACAATGGAAAGAGCAATCAGCTGAGCGTCTTTTAGAAAGCATCTAAGGGGCTTGAGTTGAGAAGAAAGTCCACTATGACTTACTCAAGTTAGATGTCAAATGGACACTAGAATGATAAGATCACTGAGTTACAGAGACTTTAGAAGTTTTCTAGTTTGTTTAGGTTTTTCGTATCTCTTTCCATTCAAAGCAGAATTTTTTCTATAAAACCCCTGAGCAGTCATCTTTAAGAGCATATAATTTGTGTCTCAGTGGAAGTTTCAGCAATTATACTGCAATTATATTTCTTTGTGCAAATCTGCTTAATGCATTTTGGCCAAGAAAGGGATATACTGCAACCAAACTATCCCGCAAATTGTAAACCACATTTAAAAAAAAAATATGTCACATTAAATTGACTTACACAAACCAAGTCTTAATTGGAAATATCAGCAATCAGCTGCTAAAAAGTCCTTAATAATAGACTGGTGGAGTTCGAATAACAGCAGCGACTGAGTATCAAACTTCCTTGTTAGCTGACATTTAAAAATTCACATTTTAAAAATGACATTTAGCAGACGAGATGATGATGCAAATGAAATCTATATTTAGGGAGGGGTGAAAAACAGCATCTAATTTGTAGTGATTATATATTCTGTTCTACCTGTGGAAATTCTGCTCAAGTTTCTCTAGTGTTCTTTATAAGTATCTCTTTCTCTCTTCCTCTGTCCTCTCTCTGCTCTCTCCCTCCAATTCATTCTCCTTCCCCCTGACCCCTCCCCAGCTGTCTCTTCCCTTCCCTTTTCTCTCCTTCTTCCTCCTTCTCTGCAATGAGAAGCTAAGGACATGGAGAAAACATCTGTAGTCATTCCAATCAACACACAACCAGAAGACAACCAGCACCAGGCCAGGCATGGTGGCTCATGCCTATAATCCCAGCACTTTGGGAGGCTGAGGCAGGAGGATCACCTGAGGTCAGGAGTTCGAGACCAGCCTGGCCAACATGGCGAAACTCTGTGTCTACTAAAAATACAAAAAAAATAGCTGGGCATGGTGGTAAATGCCGGTATTCCCAGCTACTCGGGAGGCTGAGGCAGGAGAATCGCTTGAACCTGGGAGGCAGGGGTTGCAGTGAGCAGAGATCATGCCACTGCACTTCAGCCTGGGTGACAGAGTGAGACTCCATCTCACACACACAAAAAAAAGACAACCAGCACCAATTGCCAGTCACCCGATGAACTACCTTAGACATAGGGACCAGTGAAATATACTCAACCCAAACTCCATTTGACTGAAAAAACAAAACCCAAGCTAGAACCACCCAAATGATCTCACCCAATTTACAGAACCATGAGAGATAATAAGTTGTTATTTTAAGCTGCTAAATTTTAGTGTGTTTTGTTATGTAGTAGCAGGTAACTGGAATATAGTCAATTTGTTTTTGAAGGAAAAAGGGGAAAGTTGTAAGAACATCCATAGACAGATAACTTGAAAGGAAGTCTCTGAGCTTCTGACTTACGCCTAACGTTAGCAGGATATTCTTTTTCTCAACCTTTCACGTGGGATTTTCTTTCTATTGCACGTGAGCTCTGAGTTATGTTTTCCCTCTTCATTTGTCATTATTATCAATTTTCCTTTCGTGCAGTCATTTTTACATTTCACATTCATTCATTGTCATTGGTTTGCTCTTTTATTGCAATTTTGAATCTCATTAAACAGACTTAAGACCAATGAAGTGCTCAAGCATACACACACTTAAAAATAAGCTTTAGGTCCGTTTTGTAAATCTGTATGTTGGAGAAGGTTGAGCAGCAAAGAACCCCAATTTGCCAAATGATGTGTAGGAATATAGAACCCCACACCCTATCTCAGAGATGCAAATTGACGTTATTTAAACAGTAATTTCTAAGCCTGAGAGTGCATCCAAATCACCTAGAGCTCTATTAACATACACATTCTGATCTGGTAGGATTGAATTTTGGCCTGAGATTCTGCATTTCGAATAAGCCACCTAACAAGGCCAAACAAAAGTTGAGTGGCAGAATTCTAGGATGTTTCAGTTTTCTATTATCTTTACCACCATTCTTTACCCCTCTTTGTTCTCCGTCTCCATTCACATAATCACACGAGCTGGAGCAGGATATATTGCTTTACATGCACTCCAGGAAAAGAAACATTGAGGAAAGAAATAACTTAATTTCCTGGCAAAGTTTTTGCTTCCTCTTTGCCCCACACACTTCTCTTTCCCAGGTACTTTCAATGACTTCCTTGCACCTGCAGTTTCCATTCTGATTTATTCTTATCACAATAAGAGCCATTTAAAAATTCTGAAGCTGAACCAGAGAGTGACATTATACATTTATTTTCAAGATATACTGGGCTTAGCACTGGGAACAACCTCTGACAAATGTTGTTTTACAGCGGCAGTGTAGGGGGAGGGGTGTTACCTGGTTGTAATTGCTTCTATTTGCACACAAAATTTTTCCCGCAAATGTATTTTCCCCATTCTGGTATTTTCCCATCCTTTCATTCTCTTCCAGTTGCACCCTGGATCAACCTGTCATCATTGCTTCTCTTTACTCCTAAAAAGTGCCACCTTACCAGGAGGCCTACATCTGTTCTTAGTGATACTCAGTCCCTTCTTTGAAGTTTAGCTGCTGGTTCTCTTAAAATACAGATAAAGTTTTGTTATGTGACTTACAAAACCCTGAATAATCAGACTCTGGATCCTCGTCTCTTTTTATACTTATTTTTATTCTTTATCTTCAGCCACTCTGGGTATTTTTAATGCTTTATAACTGATATATTCCCTCCAGTCACAGGGTCTTTGGCAGACAGTTTTCTCTGCCTAGATCTCTCTTCTCTCCCTCCCTCCTTCATTTAACAAACTCCTACTGTTTCTTTCCATGTCAATTCAAAACTCTCTCTCTCAAGGAATCATTCTCTGTACATAGTTAAGTGTGGTTTCTTATCACCTCACTCTCCTTTCTAGCAATAATATAGCTCTAATTTGATATTTATGTGCATAATTCTTTTCTTTTTTTTACTAGAATGGAGATTCCAGGGTTTGTCTGGTTTTATACACTATAGTCTCTCTAGCTCTGTGCTTAGTGGCTGGAACCAAAAAATAGTGGCTCAGTAAATACTTGTTAAAGGAACAAATACATTTGAAGCCACCCATTCTCATGTGCTACTGTCACCTTATTTGCATTCATCTGATTCACTATTTTGTTTGACCTGGCTTCCTTTGAGCCTTACTCCTGTTTTGCCAAGAAAGGCATAAATGAGGATCGGCCTCTGTATTTAGTGATATCTTGGTATGTGTTCTTGAAGAAAATTCTTCATCTCTCTAATTTTAAAATCGTTCCAAGATGCCATGTTCAGTTTCACTGGCTTGTTCTGTGACTCAGAAATCACACAGTGCTCTCCTAGTCCCACTTATCTGGATCCAGGTCTCTAGCTCTCACCTAAGTCTATTCTGAATTATCCTCCTGTAGTTCTCATTCTAACCCAAGTTGCAACCTTACTTATAAGAACCTGCTGATGCCTCTCATCCTGGCACTGCAAATAATCAGACCAATTTCAACATTGCCTGGGACTTAATATCAAGGCTTTCTAAAAGGAAAACAGAGAAAGGAGATTGCTATCTTCAGGTTGGAAGATTTTCGTTTCCTTTGGTAGGAAATAAATGGACAATAAATCAACACTATTAAGAGGCCTTTAAAGGGAAACAAATGTCAAGAAGCCTAAACTCTCCATGCAGCCTAATGGTGCTCCATTTCTTTCCTCATTTCTGAGCCAAAGACTAGAACAATTGGTCGGCAGGATGCTTCTAGCCTAGAGTTTTTCTCTCACTGGGTCTCTCTTGCTAGGCAAAGCCAGGGAAATATTCCTGATCAAGCATTTATAGTTCATATGAATTTCACCTGAAGCAAAGCAGTAGCACCCACATTAGCCAGTTGAATTTAGGTATAGCTGAGTAAAAGGTGGGGGAGTTTTTCATGGTTAACAATCCTTTCAAGTTAACACTTTATTGCAACAGGACTGGATCTGGCCTTCACAAACACTATGCACCTAGCTGTATGTCTGTTTCTCATTTTGCACATTTCAGATCTGCCACCCACCTGACAACACGGTAGGCATCATATATTTAAGAACAGCACTTGCTGCTGGAAAAGCAATCACATTCAAGGTCAAGTTGAATTGTGAAAAGACTATTATGTGAAAAATTTAAGTTTGTATTGTCCTGATACCTGCCAAAAATATTCCTGTTTTGAGACAGAATTATTTTGTTCATTTTTTAAAGCTTTAAATCTATCATCAAGTTGTTCAAAAGAAATAAATAGACATGCGAATTTTCAAAAGTGTACTTTTGATAAGAGATTTTCACTGTGATGAATGCAGAAGGAGATGCTCAATCATCTCTTTGGCCTATAAATATTTTGATTCCATGTATATAAAATATAGACAATATATAATATACACATATATGTAATATATGGAATAGCAGAATATTTATAGGCCAAATTAGGGAGGATGGTAATTCATACAGTGAGAAGTATTTTTTTTTTCTTTTTTTGAGACAGAGTCTGGCTCTGTTGCCCAGGCTGGAGGGCAGTGGCGCGGTCTCGGCTCACGGCAAGCTCCGTCAATGGGTTCACGCCATTCTCCTGCCTCAGCCTCCTGAGTAGCTGGGATTACAGGCGCCCACTACCACGCCCGGCTAATTTTTTGTATTTTTAGTAGAGATGGGATTTCACCGCATTAGCCAGGATGGTCTCGATCTCCTGACCTCGTGATCCGCCTGACCTTGTGATCCGCCTGCCTCGGCCTCCCAGAGTGAGTGAGAAGTATTTTTAAATTCAAAGGTTATAACCTTGATTTCCCTTACTATATCTTTTTTCTCTGAATTCCTGATATTGGCAAATAAATATGGCTGTGCACATTCTACATACTTCCTTCAATATGGAAAGGAAAAACAGTAACAAAATGACAAATGCAATTGTATTGCAATGCATAGTTTTCAGTATCACAATTTATAAATAAAGTTAATCATAATGTCTTCAAGATTCACATAGCTAAGCACTGAAAACTAAGCAAAATAAATTATGTCCTAAGGATATCTTATAAAGTATATTCTTTTAGCCATAATGTATTAATATTATATGGCAACATAATATAAAGATAGGACTCAAAATGAGCACAGGCAGGCTCTTTTTTTAAAATGAATTACCAGGGGAGTGTCCCATCCCAAATGAAAGCTACAAATATGTACTTTAAGTGACTCTGAAAAGAATATCTTGTGTTGAGTTGAACAGAATGATGAAATTAAAAAATTACATATACACAATTTGAAAAGTATAGAATAATACAAATAATAATTCAGAAGAAGGATATTAATTTAGATTCAGAGAAATTAATTAGGTCCTAGTTTTATACCTTAATGTTACAATGCTCTCAGTTATGATGGTTAAAGAGGGTAAAGAAAACAAATGAATAACGGCGAAAGTAATTGGGAGCATTTGCATGAGAGGTCAAAATGAAGAAAGATAGCTGAAATGCAGAGCAGGGGGCCATTGCTACAGCTATCCTGAGGCATAGGGAAATATCTAACCTAGAGGCTTGAGTTGTGATGGCCATTCAAGGGTAAGAGAGAGGGCCTTGGTCTAGGTGGGGATGTGGTGTGGCCTTCAACAAGAACAGCAAACAAACAAACAATAAAACAAAAATAACGAAAACAGAGGTAGGCAAGAAGGATACTCACAGAAATTTTCTGCTTTGGCCTTGGCTCTAGGCAGAATAACAAAAAAGGATTCCCCTTAAGAATCTGTACAAACTTTTACCTAGAGGGTTTGCTGTCTTAAGTCTTCCACCTGCATTTTTCCTGATTTGAAAGCTTTCCTTTATTCCTGGTAGTATCAAATGCCAATATTTTCCAGAGAAATGAACCGTCAATAGACAAATTATGTGATTCATCCAGCGTGCCCCACTCAACATGGGATCATATGGTATATTGATATCATATGGTATATTGATATACCATATGACATATGGATAGACATGACAGCAGGCTGGGCTAATCAAAGGTCACATAAAAGGTTAGGTGAACAAATTAAAACTCAGAAACTCCTCTATCAGAGCAGTAGACCAATTGGGAAGGAAGAGTGGGTTGTTAGTAGATGGTCAGTAACTCACCGTAGGTAGTTTTACAGCATGGGAACCAACAGATACATAACGCATATGTAAACACTGGAACATCTTTTGTTTATTTTGGCATGGTTGAAATGGATGCATCAAAATGTAAAATCATTGTCTCTTTAAAATTTTACCATGAAATCTGTACAACACATCCACCCGACCCTTGTGTTATTTCTTATCCTTACTCAGTCCTGAGCATAATCACATGCAATTGGGAATGCTTCTTGACTCTGCTAACTTAAGCAGACATAGGCACTAATAGAAAAACTGTATATATTCATATCTTAATTTTATCATGTACTAGTGGTTACTTACTGAAGCTTTTGTCAATGATCCAAAAAAAAGTAAAACCATATGGCCTTGTCCTGTGAAATATTTTATCTACATAGTGGATAGAGATAAAGTAAACTTGCTTATCAGATATTCAGGTGACCTCAGACTAGGAGGGTAAGGAAATATGACAGTTGACAGAATTAGCATTCTGAAAAGGCTCAACAAACTAGAATGACTGTGAAAGATCAACATTATAAAAATTTATAGGAATAAATCTGAATCCTATGATTACATTAAACAAGCAGAAACATATATCACAAGAAAGTACAGTCAGAGAAGTCTCTTCTAATATCAGGAGAGACAAGTTGTTTAAGATTTGACTATTTTACTTGACTACACTCAATAATTCAACAATATTTAGTGATGACTTAAAGTTCCTAGTTCAAGCCAGGCAATAGTGACTCATCCTGTGGTCTCAGCATTTTGGGAAGCCAAGGTGGGAGGACTGCTTGAGTCCAGAGTTTGAGGCTGCAGCAAGATATGACTGTGCCATTGCACTCCAGCCTGGGTGACAAAGTGAGATGCTGTCTCTACCAGCATGAAAGACAGAAATATTTTTCCCCCAGCCTCTATTCACCTTCCTTATTGTTAATAGTTTTTCTGAATTATCTTTTCAAAACCCCTCCTCTCTCAACCGTCATTATCAGTCATATGGTTTACTTACCAAACGACCAGTCAAAGCCATCCTCAATTCCAGGCTCATTCCAGACAGCATGACCCATAACCTCAACAGTAACTGTTTCAGTCACATACTAATATCCAAATAGGCTGATGCAACATGGGTATATATTTGTTAGGGTTTTCTAGGAGAGAAAACTTTGTACTTTCTCTTTCTTAGCTTTCTATTAGCAGAGGATATTGTTTGTTTTTTCATGGGGACTATGATGTCAGAATATGAAACCTAGACTTTGCTATGCAAGGGAAAGCCTATACAAGCAGGGCTGACGGTATGCTACTTGGAGGCTGGTGGAGAAGCCCACATCATTGTAGTTAGAGCAGAGAAAAGTAAGATTCTAGCTTACTTTATTGAGCTGCTGAATCAAATCTTATCTGAGGTCATTCCTATGTTTGCATTTTTCAGTCATATAAAACAATTAATTATCTTTTATTTTTAAGCCAGAGTGAATTAAGTGCTCTATTATGAGCAACCTAAGAGTCATAACCTAGAAAGACAGGGACTATAGGTTCATGATTTATTTACTTACCAGGAGCAAGAACATGGTAAGTATTCGATAGATTTTTCTTAAATAGTTAGGTTAAAAATAGACCTAATCAAAAATATAATAAAAGTTTAAGTTAAATGTATATAATTGTACCGGAATACAGTAAAGAAATGGTTTTACTATATTGTGTACTCGGTTTATTTTTGTATTTAATTCAAAGTACTACTTTTAAGTGCACTAGGCTAAGAGACAAAAGAACTTTTAATGTATCTTCTGTCATGTAAGTTATGAGACAGATAGTAAATTATTTACATGGTTAATTTTAATCTTCCTGAGTTGGAGTTACCAAAATCTTTCTTGTGATCCTCACTGTATCACTGTAGGAGTTATACAGAGTGAATTGTACAATGTGGGAATTATACAGGTTAAACATTTCTGGAAATATGACAGAAAACAGACAAATCCTTTCATTAAAACAACTAAAATTACTGGATAAATTATTTGTAATCTACTAAAATAAATCCATAGCACAATTCTTTGGCAAGAAAGTGAGGTAGACTCAGGTGAGGTACTGAGTGAAAAATAAGCGGAGATTTTGCCTCAAGATGTTTACCAAACAGATGAACTTGAGAGTTAGTTTTCATAGTCTCACGCAATTTAGGGGAAATAAGTTTCACAGACAAAATCAGGGCTGAACAAGGTAGAGAAACCTATCAGAGACAACCAACCATAAATCTTGGACACTTCGTACACAAATGCTTATAGCCTCAACATCTCGACATAAACATGCAATGTAAAATAATACTTCTCTAAAAATTGTTAGTGAATAAAACCAATCATTTTATAATAACTTTAAATCTGAAAACCCTGATTCAAATAATTTATTCATTGATTCTTTGGGGTATTCAAGATAAGCAGTCATCTGAAGGTACTTTCAATTTTGATTCTTCCTTTATAATTATTTTACAATTTATTTTATTTCATGCATTACTGTCTGGGTAAGACCTTCAGTAAAAGGTTGAATGGAAATGCTAAAAGCAGGCAGTCTTTACTGGTCCCTATGTTTAAAGAGTTGCTTATTGCACTAGAGTAATAAAGCGAAGCATTATAACTAAAAAATTTTTTAAAGGGAATAGGTTGGGATCATAAAAATATAATTAATCTAGAAACCCTGGAAGGTGAAAAAGGAAACAAAGAACAGACAGGACTATTAGGCAATAAATATTGTAATGATACCTTTAAATCTAAGCATGTTAATAATTGTATTAAAAAGAAATAGTCTAAATGTCCTCAATTAAAATGTAGAGATTATCAAAATGGATAAAAAAGCAAGATGTTGCCTACAAGTAACACACCTTAAATATAAAACCACAAATCAATTAAAAATAAAAGAATAAAAAATATGTTATGCTAATACTAATTAAAAAGGAGAAAAAAATGCAATTTATTATTAGACAAAATTGATTTCAGTTCAAGTAACTACCAGGAATAAAGAAGTTCTTTTCTAAAAAAAGATAAAGGAAGTGCTTCATCAAGATGATATAACAAAACAAATGGCTTAAGCCCCTCATAATAAAACTTAAAAATACATGGAGCAGAAACTGATTAAAAAGACAAAACTCTAAGAAAAAATTTACATAAAGATTTCAATATCCCATCTCAATAATTGACACAACACGTAGACAGAAAAATGAATAAGGGTATAGGACATTTAAACAACACAATTAACCAGCTTTTTCTATTTGACATTATAAAGTGCTCTACCAAAGAGCAACAGAATTTACATTTTTCTGAAGTACACACCAAATATTTTCCAATATAGACTGTATTTTGTACCATAAAACAAATATCATTAAATTTTAAAATACTTAGGCCTACAAATTTTTTCTCTGACCACATTAAAATAGAAATTAAAAACAAAAAGATCTCTGGAACAAAATACAAAATTTGAAAACTAAATAACATACCATCTTTCTTGACCCGTAAGTCAAAAAGCATTTAAGAGAAAAAGTAGTCAGTATTTTGAGCTGATTGAAAAGAGAACACAAATTACCAACTATGTTGGATGTTTGTAAAGCAGTGCTTAGGAGAAAATTTGTAGTATTAAATACCTGTGTTAACAAAGGAGGAAAACGTCAAATTAATGACCTCAGCATCTACCTTAAGAAACCAGAAAAATAGGAGAAAGTAAACTGAAATTAGGCTGAAGTAAAAAAGTATAAAGAATAGAAATTAATTCTATCAAAAACAGAAACTGTACAGAAAAAAATGAAACAAAAATGGTTATTTGAGAAGATCAATAAAATTGTCAACCCTTTCTCCAGACCAGTTAGAAAAGACCTGTGAAATGACACAAATTACCAATATTTTGAATGGGAGTGGTGGCATTATTGCAGATTTTACAGAAATTAAAAACTTAATGCTGATAGAGTCCATGCTTAGATGAAAAGGAAAAAGCCCTTTAAACGTTAAAGGAAGACACAAACTAGCAAAGCTCACTCAGGAAGAAATATATAAACTGAAGAGATTTGTATCTACTAAATAAATTCAAGTTGTGGTTAATAACCTTTCCATAAGAACAATGCTAGGGGCCAGAGATCTTCAAGATGATGTCTATGAAACATTGAAGGGAGAATAATACCATTTTTACATAAACTTGTCCAGAATATTTTAGGAAAGAGTATACTTCCCAATTCAGTCTATGAGATTAGCCTCTCCTTGATTAAAAACCTTATAGCTGTTATACAAGGAAAGTGAATTACAGACCAACATAGATGCTTACTCTCAAACATGATTTTAATAAATCTAATAACATTTAAATAGGAATACACATCATGACCAAGTGGAGTCTATCCCAGGAATGCAAGGCTGGTTGAACATTCAAAAGTAATGTAGTCCACCATATTAACAAACTGTTTAAAAAAAGAAGAAAACACATTATTTCAATAAATATAGAAAATGCCTTTAAGAAAATCTATCCTCCATTCCTGATAAAAACCATCAGCAAAGCAGTAATAGAATTTTCTCAACTTAATAAAAGTAATACACAGAAAAGCTACAGCTTACATCATACTTTATGCTGATATACTGACTGTTTTTTTCCCCTCCACAAAAAAATAAGATATCTACTTTACCAATTCTTTTTTAACTTTTATTTTAGGTTCTGGGGCAGGTGAACAGGTTATATGGTAAACTTTTGTCACAGGGGTTTGTTGTACAGATTACTTTGTCACCCATGTGCTAAGCCTAGTACCCAATAGCTATTTTTTCTGCTCCTCTCCCTCAACCCACCCTCCACCCTCAAGCAGTTCCCAGTGTCTGCTGTTCCCTTCTTTGTGTTCATGAGTTCTCATCATTTAGCTCCCACTCATAAGGGAAAACATGCAGTATTTGGTTTTCTGTTCCTGTGTTAGTTTGCTAAGGATAATGGCCTCCAGCTCCACCCATGTTCCCACAAAAGACATAATCTCATTCTTTTTTATGGCTGCATAGTATTCCAGGGTGCTTCACCACTTCTATTTAATATTCAACATGGACTGAGAATTCTAGCTAGAAATAATAGTCTAGAGAAAGAAATGACATCCAAATTGAATGTTGACCTGTGCTGATAATAAAAACAAATAAAACCTGCACTTCTTTTATAGCTTTAACATTGTAGCACAATTATATAAATTACTATGTACATGGAGTATGTTTGAATTCACCCTGGTGAACTCCCTAGAATATTCTCTAGAAGATATAGAAAGTGATTTAATGATTTAGTTAATTGGTGCTTATTCCCCTGAAAGAGAATGACATTTAGAAAAAAAGAAATTCAGACAGAATTTATAATCTTAACTGCAATTTTGAGCAGATTCCTGACTTTGGGCAAGTTTCATAAATTCTGATTGACTGAATACCATTTTATAATCAAAATTTGTTGCAAAAATTCAATGATAAAAATAAAAAGGGATCTAAAAAGTGCCTAACTAAGGATCTGGCACAGAATAAGGGTGCAGTAAGAGGTAACCACAGCCATGTGGTGAATTTGGCCTTGAACAGGATCCACACAGGAAGAATGCGGAGGGTAGGATTGTTCAAAAGATGTTGGAGCTTGGACAAAGAATTTATTATGGCCTGGATTAAGACTATTGAAGGAGAGAGAAAAATAGAAAGCGTATGTTTAAACACCAAAGAAAAGATACAGGATAATACAACATTATTTCAACAGTATTTTTCAGTGTCGCTTCCTTAAAGTAATAAAACAACTGTTAGTGGTTTTCAGGAGATTAAAAAAAGTTTGGGTCTTAGATTCGGAAAATAAAAAGAACAATTTTTGGTATTTTAAAATAGTAACATTAAAATGGATAATTCCTACTGAAAAGGCTTTCTGTGTTTAAGTTTAAATTGCAGATTTGTATCCCTATTTTTCTTTTTCTATCTCCTCTTAGTTTGGGTGAAAACTGTGTTTAAAGACCGTAAAGAACTAATGAAAATTTTGACTTATAGAAAAGGTGAAGTGATAAAATAAGTCAGTCAGTCTTCAGGTACCTGAATATTTTAATGGCATAGGTTTTGTTTTCCTGCTAGTTATACAAGAATTATTTGATTTTTTTACTCTTATAGCATCATAAAACCAAATAATTCCAATACATACTTTTGTGGCAGTTAACATATAAGAAGAAAAGGAAGCCAAAAATACACTGTTACAGTTCCTTTTTGAGTTAAAAAGGTGATTAAAGAATAAATCTAGTTCAGTAATTTAGTATTAACACAATACAACTTCCCAACTCCTTACCCACACTTCCAAAATCCCAAAATATCTGGAAACCAAAAGATTTTTTCAGAATTTATTTTGTGGCAAAATCGATCCTGACCTCAACCTATCTCGCATATAGTTCTAACTTGGACTGAAATGACACAATTAGCCCACTCCATTTATTCTATTTATTGTGAATGTTCATACATTTCACTAGAGAAATAGTCAGGTTTTTCATACAGGATACTGCCCTGGATTTCACTGTGAATATAAGGTAACATGCAGTAATATACAGAAATGAGATAACCCTTTAAAACATCCATAAAATCTGAAATCTAATACACATAATGGTTTGTAGATCTGCAGTATATTATCTTAAAGTTGTGTCTATACAGTTTAAAACATTTCGATATCGTTGATAATCCTGAATTATAACTGCTTAATATTATCTCAAAGACATCTTTACTTTCTAAGAATAAAACAATTCTAAATTATGACAGCTAAGTACAACGAGTCTGTTGTTCTAAGAGACAGTTTATGGAAATTATTTGTGATGTTCCCAACTTTTCAAACAAATTCCATGGTATTTTCTGTTTGTTTGTTTGTTTTGTTTTGTTTTGTTTTTGTGTGGTTTTTGAGGCGGTCTCACACTGTCACCCAAGCTGGAGTGTGCGGTAGCGTGATCTTGGCTCGCTACTACCTCTGCCTCCCAGGTTCAAGTGATTTTTCCACCTCAGCCTCCCGAGTAGCTGGGACCACAGGCACATACCACCACACCTGACTAATTTTTGTATTTTTAGTAGACACGGGGTTTCACCATCCTGGCCAGGTTGATCTCAAACTCCTGACCTCAGGTGATTGCCCTGCATTGGCCTCCCAAAGTGCTGGGATTACAGGTGTGAGCCACCGTGCCCAGCTTCCATGGTTCTTAAAAATATCTAGTTATTTCTTATTTCCATAGATTTAAATTTTTTACTTTTCATATGATTAAACAGAAATACTACAAAATTTAATCCTATACAAAGGGGCTAAAATTTTTATAAGTCTATAAATGCCAGAGTGGTAAGAAAAATGAGTGAAGTTGGATGGTTAGGTTAGATGTATATTCTAGATTAGCACTGTCCGATAGAAATATATCACAGCTTACAGCCAAGTGGCATTTGCCAGAAACCCATGGAATTTTAAATTTTCTAGTAACTTCGTAAGAAAATAAATACCGGCCAGGCACGGTGGCTCACGCCTGCATCCCAGCACTTTGAGAGGCTGAGGTGGGAGGATCTCTTGATGTCAGGAGTCCGAGACCAGTCTGGACAACATGGCAAAACCTTGTCTCTACTAAAAGTACAAAAATTAGTCAGGCGTGGTGGCAGGTGCCTGTAATCCCAGCTACTTGGGAGGCTGAGGCATGAGAATCGTTTGAACCTGGGAGGCGGAGGCTGCAGTCAGCCAAGATAGCACCACTGCACTCCAGCCTGGGTGACAGAGCAAGACTGCCTCAAGAAAAAAAAAAAAAAAAGAAAAATACAAATGAATGAGATTAATGTTAGTAATATAATTTATATAACTAATGGTATAAAAATATTTTCTTTTAACATATAATCAATTTAAAGGTTATTCCAGAAATGTTTCACATTCTGTTTTCACTAATTATTCAAAATTTGCTGTTCATTTCAACTTCCAGCACATATTCAATTTGGACTAGCCACATTTCAAATGCTCAAGAGCTGCATATGGCTAAGATAACCGTATTAAGCAGCATAGTTCTAAATATACTGTCAATTTGCTATTAAACATGTTATAATATGGTTTAGTCTTTTAATAAATTATGTCTTATCCCATTTTTCTTGAACTACGAGGTCCTTTTGGTCTATGTTTCATTTTCCCTTTTCAATAGAGATGTGGCTATAGAGACATATTTCTGTATTTCTTCCATACCAAGACAACAACTCAAGTTCCCTGATTAATGATACCTGACTGAGCATTTCACTTTTGGGGAGAACAGTGAGGCCTGCTGTGAATTCTGACTGCATGCCCAGTCTATTAGGGCACCCATTCATTGGCTCCTTCCTATTGATGCCATCTTGCACTGCAAATCAAGTGCTGCCACATTTTCTCTATATTCAAGAGAACTAAGAAATAGGAAATCTTATGTAAAATCACCAGATTTATACATGCTGACTTATGTCTCCACTATACATAGTACCGACTGTCTACATGTCACTTGCTTGACACTGAGGTCCCAGACTTTTGAAGACTGGAGGAAGTTGTTGCGAACACAGAGAAGGTGACACTAATACATGGAAATGCCAAGTTCTGTCTATATTAATACCTCCAGATTGTGAAAACCCTTGGAATGAAGCTTCTTTCCTTATTTTACATCACACACACACTTACACACACATGTACATGTGTGAATAACCTAGGATCTTAAAATTTCGAGAGGTATATTTCTATACAAATTTTTATACTTATAAGTCTCATTCTTGTAGTCTTAATTTTGCTAAGTAAACTGGTTTTCTTTTTATTTGTACACTTCAAGATCTCACAGAATTCAGGGGCATTGTCTTGAAACTTCTTTTAAGACTAAGTTCTTGCTATTTTTGTCAGTTCTCCTATATGTACTTCTGACATAAATATCTCTAGAATTTTGCACATTTAACTCACTTGCTATACTGGATTCAATGATCTAGTATATATTTCTTCATGGCTATGTACTAAATGATAAACATTATACAAGACCAGGGCAAAGG
The DNA here is from genome assembly GCF_000001405.40 of Homo sapiens. Taxonomy (NCBI): domain Eukaryota; kingdom Metazoa; phylum Chordata; class Mammalia; order Primates; family Hominidae; genus Homo; species Homo sapiens. The sequence continues at coordinate 165,193,740 of NC_000005.10, read as the reverse complement.
TGAAATTATATTTTTCACACCACTATCATTCCCTCTCACCTCTATAGAGGGGAGGAGTTAATCTAGAACACAGTTTAAAAATGTATATAGCATTAATTCTAAAAAGTTTCATACAACTTTCATGTTTACCTTTGCCACTAACTTCCTTGTTAATCCTTCTTAAACCGATAGTTGGAGTGTTCCCCTCCAAAAATTAAAAAAATAGGTCTTATTATCTTTTATCTTAGACATTAACTTCTAGTAATATCAGTGACTAAGGAGTAAGAGTAGGAATATGGCAGGTTATGTAGATGATTTCATAGTTCCTTACAGTTAACATTGCATATTCTTGTAAGAGCCCTGATTTTGCTTCGGAAAGTTTGTAATACTTTAAGATTCTTTTAGAGTTGCTCCTCCTGATATAAAGACTTTGCTTATCAAAGATGGTGGTTCAATTCTATATCAAAATTTGCTTTGCATATACAATAAATGTAAACTCATAAATTCATTCTCCCTTTACTAATAAATCAAGTAAAAACTTTGTTAGGATTGTGTCCAGATACCAACAAAAAATGGAAACAGATAAAAGCCCAGGAAACACATCTTGCAATAGCTTTAAAACAGAGATTGATTTCTTTCCTATATAACAAGAAGTAGAGTGACAGGGAGTCTTGGCTTAGAGCAACAATTTAGCATTATCCACCAGGAAGCCAGCTCTTCCTATCTTACGGCTCTGTCACCTTTAGGATGTTGAATTTTGTACCCATGGTTGCCAGTAATTGCTGCTCTTCGAGGCTTTATTTCTCTAGTTCAGACAAGAGGAAAGGGAATAGGAAATTTTGTGCAGCAGCAATGATTCTCTTTAGGAAGAAAAATAAGCTTTCTTTATGATAACATCCCTTTTTTAGCAGACTTCTGCTTATGAGTTTTGGGCCAAAACTGCCATAGCCCCAGGTGGCAAGAATTTGGAAAATTGAAGAGAAAGAAAAGTTTAGAAAAGTTGCTCAGTGAACCAAACTTCAATGTATGCTGCAAGTTTAATACGGCAAGCCTATTACCAAGTTATTGGTTCTGTTATCTAGCTTCAGAACAGTGCTATATCTATGTTTCACTATATTTAATTATATATTAATTCCCATGACTCCTACACAACTTGGTATTCCATTCATATAAAGTCAAGCTATGTTATGCTTAATTTTGTGTCAATTCATCTAGGCTATGGCACTCAGTCATTTAATCACTTTTCTAGTTATTGCTGTAAAGGCATTTTGTAGATTTTGCTAACCTATAGACATGGTTAACCTGTAGATGTAGCAAAACGTGAGGTTCCTGGAGAAGAAGAAACTCTACCTTGAGACTGCAGCATGAACTCCTGTCTGAGTTGCCAGTCTGCTGACCTGCCCTACAGATTTCAGACTCAACACTCCAGCATCATCTCCTACCTGCATGCCTACTCTGCCAGCCCGCCCAACAGACGTTGGAGTTGCCACCCTCCTTACAATCATATTAGCCAATTCCTTAAAAGAAATCTTTAAAAGACCTCTCTCTTAACAATAAGTGGAATGACAGGGAGCATTAGCTGAGAGCAACAACTCAGCATTATATGCCAGGAATGTAGCTCAACGTTGCATTTTTATATATGGAGAACCCTGACTGAAACAAGGTATGGATTCAATCATATGAATTAGGTCAATTTCCTCAATGTTAAATATGAAAATGTATCAAAGGCCTACTCCCTATATGACCTAGGCAAATAATTTTACTTTGCAACGGCTTAACCATATATGTTTGCAACTGTGCTGGAGACAGTATCTAATATATGAGAAGATGTTAGTACTGTGACTTTGATAAAAGTAAGTTCCCAGAAGCAAATGCTTTTACGTAATTTAAATTATCAAGTTAGTTATTATATTTAATGAAATTAGAACAATGCCTGGTACATAATAAGTACTACATAAATGTTCATCTTCTCATTATTATTACAATTATCCTCATAGTCATCAGGAAGCATGAAGCATATTGACACTGAGATGATTAAAAAAGGGACACCTTTGTTCCTGAGCTGCATGGCATATGTTTTAAGGCAATAAACCATCAACTCTACTAATGGAACTAATAGGTTAATTTTCCCATGTTGCCTGAATTATTTCCTCAAGAAAATTAAATTTTCTTAATAGAAAACCTAATTTTATCTTGAGTAACTTGAAAATCTTAATTAGTGACACAAAAGCCATGTTAAAATTACTTAGATCAGAAATAAACACATCATTATACGAAAATAAACAGATTGAAGTGTTACTGTAGTTTATTTGACATTCCACACACAGTATCTTGATAAAAATAAGATACAAACAGGCAATTTCAAAATGAAAGAATCAACATCAATCACATAAATTAAATTGATTAACTTTCATACTTAATCAATCACAGGCTTGAATCTTATACAATCTACTGGTGACCTCAGTTACTTTGTTTAATCATGCACACCAATATCAGTGCAATGCTTGATTTTCCAATTAAAACAACTTTGCAATTAGATCTAATTAACGTGTTCCAATTAAATAGGTTAAATGCAGCAGTATTCAATAAATTTAAGCACCCTACTTTTCTCTTGGTAAAAAGGTTCTCTAAAATTGTTTGAATATATAAGCCTTTTGGTACCACAGCTTAACAAAAGAAGTAAGAAAAGGTCAACAACTTGGCTCTGAAATAACGTAAGCCAGATTTGGTAGAGAAGAACAAGCGTCCCAAATTTCTCAATTATCTCCTGGATCATCGCATAAGCCCTTCATGATGGCCCCATTAACAATCTGCCGGCGGAAGTATTTGTTAAAGCAATATTTGCCCTTTTCACAAAAAGAGTACCTATCTCTTCTTGGAGCCAAGCAGTTTTGTAGTTGTTCTTCACAACTCATACATGAAAGAAATATGGTTTGTTAGATGTTTGAACCAGGGAACTCGTCCTTTGGCCTTTGGTTAAAGTAATACACAGTAAATCTCCCTTCCAAAGTTTCCTATAGGGACAAATGTAAGTAAAGTTTTGTAATTTTGTTTTTAAGCCTTTGATTTATAGGATTCTGAATTCAGACCCCACCCCCCCTTTCCCATTTCCTTTAGCCGACAGAGCTTCTGCTGTGATTAATATATTGTAATGAGTATCAGTAAATTCCCTTGGAGAATCTACTGCTCACAGGGAGCCATCCGTCTCTGAGAAGTTAGGGCAAGTAAAACTTGACTCTCAGAGGTGTTTGGGGGATGGCTGGAGAGCAGTAGAGCACTAACTTCATGTTCTAAGCCAAATACAAGGCAGATGTTAAATAGCCCAGTCTCTAGAGTTCGTCCATTCTTTTACATGTATATTTTGCTCTTTGAATTCCTCAAATTTTCTGTTGCCTGCACCTTGATATAAAGGAACCTATAAAACAACTGAGCACAGCTGTTGTTACAATCATATGCAGTATTTGACTTTTTCAAAGGAAGCTACCTGTTAAAGCATGAAGTTTCCATGCTTTTTACTTCTTAATTCTTTACTCACTGCTTTCACTTGCTTGGGAGTAAATTCTACTAACTAATAATTTTTAAAAGCCCTGATTCTAAAACTATCAATGCACAGAGAACAATTCAATAAACTTATCTTGGTCATTAGTATAGAAACTTGTACTCACTTTCAAAGTAAACATATACTGATCTATACTATATTGGGCAAACTCATCCTATTCTAGATATTTATCCCACAGGGCTAATAAACACAACTTTTCTTGACTTTCAAAAGAGGAGATTTGCACTTCCATATAGTCCAAAAACATTTACTGACCACTACATAGTTCTTAATGCATCATGCTTTGTATAGAAAAGTTGATAGGAATGTATCTACAAACTTGGTAATGAATTCTTTAAAATCAAAAACCAGATATACACATTATAATCCTCACTTTGGGCAGGACAGAGATCCCAGTTATTTTTTTGAATGATTCTTTTGAAGGAAAAATATACCAGCTCTTGCTGTATCCAGATGAAGATACTATGTAGGTCTCTTTTAATGACAATAAAAATTACTCTATTAAGTCATCTCAGTCTAAGATCAATTTGGGTGCAGGGAAGTGGTTAGCTTAGGTAGAGAAACCTCACTGACCTAGAAACCAAACTTTAGGTAGATTTATGGGATCTGGAATAAAAGCTGCTAAGAACTCAACAGAGTTTCTTCTCTAAAAGGTTTCATACTCTCCCGCCTCCAACCAATCCCAGACAGTATTTCGTGGTTAAGAGGATGCTCTCCAGAGCCAGATTGTTGGAGTTTAAACTCCTGCCCAGCCACGTTCTACATATACAATCTTCAATAAGTTACTGAACTGATTTTTGCCACAGGATCCGTCATTATAGTACAAGTATACTTCAAAGATGTTGCTGGTTTTGTTTCAGATCATTGCAATAAAGTGAGTATCACAATAAAGCTAGTCACAGGCAAATTTTTTAGTTTCCCAATGCATATAAAAGTTATGCTTAGACTATAATGTAGTCTAGTAAATGTGCACGAGCATTATGTCAAAAAATCAGGTCATAATTTAAAATATTGTATTGCTAAAAAAATGCTAACAATCATCTGAGACTTCAGCAAGTCATATCTTTCTGCTGGTAGAAGACCTTGGCTCGATGCAGATGGCTATTGAGTAATCAGGGTGGTGGTTGCTGACAGTTGGGTGGCTGTGGCAATTTCTTAAAATAAGACAACAGTGATGTTTGCCACATCAATTGACTCTTCCTCTTATGAAAGATTTCTCTGTAGCATGTAATGCTGTTAGATAGCATTTTACTCACAGTAGAATTTCTTTCAAAATAGGAGTCAATTCTTTCAAACCTTGCCACTGCTTTACTGGTTACATTGATGTAATATTCTAAATCCTTTGTTGTCATTTCAACAATGTTCACTGCCTCCTCACCAGGAGTAGTTTCCATTTCAAAAATTAGTTTCCACTTTCTTTGCTCATCCATAAGAAGCAGTTCCTCATCCACTCAAGGGTTAGCATGAGACTGCAGCCATTCAGTCACATCTTCAGGTCCCACTTCTAATTCTAGTTCTCCTGCTATTTTTACCACATCTGCAGTTACTTGCTCCTCTCAAATTTTTAACCCATGAAAGTCATTCATGAGGGTTGGAATCAATTTCTTTCAAACTCCTGTTATATTGATATGTTGACCTCCTCCCATGAATCAACAATATACTTACATAGTTTAATGACATTTGGAATGGTGAATCCCTTCCCGAATATTTCCAATTTATTTCCTCCAGATCCATCAGAAAAATCACTATCTATAGCAGCTACAGCCTTATGAAATGTATGCGTTAAATAAGACTTAAAAGTAAAAATTACTCCTTGATCCATGGGCTGCAGTATGAACGCTACGTTTGCACGCATGAGAACTACATAAATCTCCTTGTATTTTCCATCAGAGCTCATGAGTAACGCAGTGCACTGTCAACTAACAGTAATATTTAAAAAAATATTTTGCTGTTTTCTGAGTAGTAGGGTCTCAACAGTGGGCTTAAAATATTTAGTCAACTATGCTGTACAAACATGTGCTGTTATCTAGGCTTTGTTGTTCCATTTACAGAGCACAGGCAGAGTAGATTTAGCATCATTTTTAAGAGCCCTAGGATTTTCAGAATGGTAAATAGTCATTGGCTTTAACCTATAGTCACCCAATGCCTTAGTCCCTAACAAGAGAATCAGCCTGTCCTTTTTAGGCAGGCATTGACTTCTCCTTTCTATCTAGGAAGGTCCTAGAGAGCATCTTCTTCTAAAATAAGCCTGCTTAGTCTGCATTGAAAATCTGTTACTTAGTGTATTCACCTTCACCAATTATCTTAGCTAGATCTTTAGGATAATTTGACACAGTTTCTCCATCAGCACCTGCTGACACACCTTGCACTTTCATGTTATAAAAAAGGCTTCTTTCCTTAATCCTTAGGAACCAAACTCCTTTAGCTTCAAACTTTTTTCTGCAGTTTTCTCACCTCTCTCAGCCTTCATAGAGTTGAAGAGAGTTAGGGCCTTACTCTGGATTAGGCTTCTGCTTAAGAAAATATTGTAGCTGGTTTGATCTTCTGTACAGACCATTAAAACTTTCTCTATATCATCTCTATATCGTAAGACTGTTTCTATTTCTTATCATTTGTGTGTTCTTTGGAGGAGCACTTTAAATTTTCTTTAAGAGTTTTTCCTTTGCATTCACAAATTGCCTGTTTGGTGCAAGAGGCCTTCGCTTTTGACTTATCTCAGCTTTCAACATGCCTTTCTCAGTAAACCTAATCATTTTTAGCTTTTGATTTAAAGTGAGAAATGTGCAACTCTTCCTTTCATTTGAACACTTAGAGGCCATTGTAGGAAGACCCGAGAAAAAACAGAGAGAGATGTGGGAATGACTGGTTGGTAGAGCAGTCAGAATACACACAACATTCATAGATTAAGTTTGCTATCTTAAAAGTGGGTGGTTTGTAGCACCCCAACCAATTATAATAGTAACATCAAAGGTCAGTGATGAAAAATACCTTAAAAGATATAACAATAAAAAGTTTGATATATTGTGAGAATTAGCAAAACGTGACGCAGAGACACAAAGTGAGCACATGCTGTTGGAAAAATGGCGCTGAACCTCTTGCCCAATGCAGGGTTGCCACAAATTTTCAACTTGTAAAGAAAACAATATCTGAAAAGTGCAATAAAATGAAGCACAAAAAGAAGTATACCTGTATCATTCAAAATAGTTTCACCGCCCTTCAAATCCTCTATGCTTCACCTGTTCATTATTCCCTCCTCCCCAACCCCTGGCAGCCACTGATCTTTTTACTTTCTCCATGGTTTTGCCTTGTTCTTCTTATTTTCATCTTATTTCTCTATGATTCAACATATCTACTAGCCTCAACTCTCCATGAGTATCTAAATTTAATCTTATTGCTTGGGTAACTTCAATCTATGTGTCTCCTAGTTTAAAAATTTGCTGTCTGAGAATGCGATGTTTTTTCTGGCTCATTGTCTGGTCAAAAGATGGATGTTTATCTCCAGTTTTATTATCTGTACACCAGGGGGAGAAAGCCAGTATAGTCATATGCACTCAGGCCTGTACTTCCAGTGAGCATGATGGGTATATTTCATATTATGCCAAAGAAGAGGGCAGTGTGTTGGAAGGATACTCCAAATTATGCCCCAAAATAGAAGTTTTGTTAAAAAAGAGAATAAAGTGAAAATGTGATTTTCTGGGACCTTCCTAAGGCAAGCCCATCTGCTCACAGTCTAAGAATATATTTCCTTCTATCCATACTCCCATGCATTGAAGTCCTTTTGGCTTTTGGGTAGTAAATTTCTGGGACTTAGTTCCATTCTCTACAAACGAAGTGCTTGGACAAAGTAATTTCCATCGTTCCTTCCAGCAATAAAAGTCTGTGGAATTCCAGTTATATACAGTGTCAGTAGTTGCTGTGAACCTGCGGAATCTGATGATAAAGCTTTAACATCGTAAATATATTTTAATTATCAAATTATCTGTTTTATAAATGACTCTGGAATTTACTATTGTTGATCATCAATCATTAATTTGCCATCGTCTGATAAGAACGCAGGAAACTTTCGTTGAGGAACTTCCTCTCCCGGTCTTAGTTAATGTTTGTACATGCCCAGGCCTAAGCCAATCGGTGCACTTTATCGCCTGTCAAAAGTGATTGTTTTAGGGAAGGGCATGTCACACACTCTGAACCAATGAAATCTTGGCTCCAGATATGTGTAGAATTGTTAGGAAGAAAGCAGTTTATTTTTCACTGATATTAGAATGCTGAAGTTAGAGGCCCAAACCTTCTGGGGATTACTACAGGAAGCAAGCTTAAAAACTTTGCCAAACATGAAAAAGAGGAACAGAGTTGGGGCAAGAGCAAAGAGGACAAGTGACTGGGGGAGATATTTCTGGACTTTTTATCTATAGTAGTCAGAGATTCTGTTTTTGCCTAAGCCAATTAGAGATTGGGTATTCTTTTACTTCCAAATATAGAAAAATCTACCTAAATATGCCATATAAGGTACTTCAAAATTTGGCTCTAATGTCCCAGCTTTTTCAGAGAAGTTTCCTAAAGTTTTACCAAAATGTGTATGTATTGACTACATGTATATTGCAATGGAATAATCACATAGAGGAAAAGTAATTCAAGTGACTTAAAAACATAGTAATTTGACCATATACTACAGCCTTTGTAGTATATACTGTAAGAACAAAAATAAATGTAAAAAACAAAATTGTAAAATGTTTTTGTGACTATAATCTTGATGACGGATATTCAAAATTGTATTGTTGCATTTTAAGACAAAGCAAATGAGGAACTATATTCCGTCATTTCTGTTATTATACACAATGGGGTTTTTCAGCTTGGGAAGGAGGAATATTGATATAAGGTAGTAGAGATAAATACAATTTTGTAGACTTGAATTCAATTGGAAATGACAAGATAGGCTTATGTATTTTATCTTTAAAAATCTCATAAAGTACTTTATCCTAAAATAAAACTTCTTGGTGTGTCCACTGAAAGGGTCTAGAACCAACGTCAAACCCAGTAGTAATGAGACCCAGCATTGAGAATGTAGCCTTAAAATACTACTTCTGGATCAAAATAACAGAGCTCCTTGGAGAAATAGCTGGTTCCACACCTAGGGCTGGAACTGTACTGGATAAGCTGGAACATTTTATAACAAAAGAAAATAAGAAGCTACTGGCTCATCATGGCAGACAGGAGGCAGGACTAGATTGCAGCTCTGACTCAGATGGACAGAGCAGCATGCAGAGGCTCGCACTGTGAGTTTTAGCTCCAGATCAACTACAAGAACAAACCTGCAATCCCCAGAGGACCCACGGACCCTCTGAAGGAAGCAGACAGCTCCTGCAGGACCCGGGAGACACCCCAAATACTGTGAATGCTCCAACTGTGGAAGTGGAAAAGGGAGAGCCTCCTCTCCTGAACACACATCCTCACTGGAGAAAAAGAACGTCTGTTTGCAAGAGAAATTTCCAACCTTAACTGGTACTGAGTCAATTTAGAGAGCTGAGCAAAATGCATGGATAGAGGAAGCAGCAGAAAGGCCTTGGGAGTCCACTGGGTCTCCAATCAGGTCATTCCTGCCTGGGACCACAGGGATCCATTGGGAGGGTGGCCAGAAGAGTGAGGGGGAAAACACCACTGCGAGAAGGATATCTCCAATTGGAACTTTCTAACCATTTGAATGATGTGAGAAGCCTCCTGGCTAGAACTTAGGGAAGGGCACAAATCTGGTATGCAGACTCCATAGGTGGGGGAAGAACCAAGCCCTTTTCTTTCACAGCTGGGAGGTGGGTAGCCTGGGGCAAGTTCTCAAGCCCAGCTTGTCCACTGCCTGGAAAGAGACTCAGGGTTATTGGGGGTGGGGGGTGGTATGTAGTGGGACTGAGACTGGTCCTTCAGCTTGCCTGGGAGCTGGGTGAGGCCTGTGACTACCAGTTTTCCCCAGCTTCCCTGACAACCTGCCTGACTCCGCAGAGGTAGCCAGAATCCTCTTAGGTACACAACTCCATTGACCTGAGAACGTTATCCCCATCCTTCACAGCAGCTGCAGCAAGACCCACCTAAGGAGAGTCTGAGCTCAGACACACCTAGCACTGCCCTCACCTGATGGTCCTTCCCTACCCACCCTGGTACATGACGACAAAGGACATATAATCTTGGGAGTTCTAGGGCCCCACCCACTGCCAGTTCCTCTCCATACTACCACAGTTGATGCTCTCGGGAAAGCAGGAGGCCAACCAGCACAAAAATAGAGCATTAAACCCCCAAAGCTAAGAACCCTCATGGAGTCCATTGCAACCCCCTATCACCTCCATTGGAACAGGTGCTGGTACACCTGAAGACCCATAGATGGTTAACATCACAGGACTCTGTGAAGACAATCCCCAGTACCAGCCTGGGGCCAGGTAGACTTGCTGCTGGCTAGACCCAGAAGAGAGACAACAATCACTGCAGTTCAGCTCACAGGAAGCCACATCCATAGGAAAAGGGGAAGAGTGCTAATATCAGGAAAACACCCCATGGGACAAAAGAATCTGAACAGTCTTCATCCCTAGACCTTCTTTCTGACAGAGCCTACCCAAATAAGAAGGAACCAGAAAACCAACTCTGGTAATATGACATAAGAAGGCTCTTTAACACCCCCAAAAAATCACACTAGTTCACCAGCAATGGATCGAAACCAAGAAGAAAATCCCTGATTTACCTGAAAAAGAATTCAGGAGGTTAGCTATTAAACTAATTAGGGAAACACCAGAGAAAGGTGAAGGCCAAAGCAAGGGAAAAAAGAAAAAAAAAAAAAAAAAGATACGAGAAGTGAAAGGAGAAATATTCAAGGAATCAGAAAGCTTAAAGAAAAAAACAACAAAAAATTCAGGAAAGAGTGGACACACTTATAGAAATACTAAATGCTCTGGAAAGTCTCAGCAACAGAATTGAACAAGTGGAAGAAAGAAATTCAGAGCTAGAAGACAAGGTCTTCGAATTAACCCAATGCAACAAAGACAAAGAAAAAAGAATAAGAAAATGTGAACAAAGCCTCCAAGAAGTCTGGGATTATGTTAAACGATGAAACATAAGAATAATTGGTGTTCCTGAGGAAGAAGAGAATTCTGAAAGTTAGGAAAACTTATTTGGGGCAATAATTGAGGAAAACTTCCCTGGCCTTGCTAGAGCCCTAGACATCCAAATACAAGAAGCACAAAGAACACCTGGGAAATTCATCACAAAAAGATCATTGCCTAGGCACATAGTCATCAGGTTATCCAAAGTTAAGATGAAGGAAAGAATCTTAAGAGCTGTGAGGCAAAAGCACCAGGTAACCTATAAAGGAAAACGTATCAGAATAACAGCAGATTTCTCAGCAGAAACCCTACAAGCTAGAAGGGATTGGGGCCCTATCTTCAGCCTCCTCAAACAAAACAATTATCAGCCAAGAATTTTGTATCCAGTGAAAATAAGCATCATATATGAAGGAAAGAAACAGTCATTTTCAGACAAATGCTGACAGAATTCACCACTACCAAGCCACTACTACAAGAACTGCTAAAAGGAGCTCTAAATCTTGAAACAAATCCTGAAAACACATCAAAACAGAATGTCTTCAAAGCATAAATCACACAGAACCCGTAAAACAAAAATACAAGTTAAAAAAGCAAAAACCAAAAACAAAAACCAAAAATAAATTACACAGATAACAAATAGCACGATGAATGCAACAGTACCTCACACCTCAATACTAACATTGAGTGTAAACTGCAGAATGGATAAGAACTCCATTACCAACTATCTGCTGCCTTCAGGAGACTCACCCAACACATAAGGACTCACGTAAACTTAAAGCAGTGGAAAAAGGCATTTCATGCAAAAAGACACCAAAAGCGAGGGTGGTGGGGGGAGCTATCCTTACATCAGACAAAACAAACTTTAAAGCAACAGCAGTTAAAAGAGACAAAGAGGGACATTATATAATGGTAAAAAACCTTGTCCAACAGAAAAATATCACAATCCTAAACACATAAGCACCTCACACTGGAGCTCTCAAATTTATAAAACAATTACTAATAGACCTAAGAAGTCAGATAGACAACAATACAATAATAGTGGGGGACTGCAATACTCCACTGACAGCACTAGACAGGTCATCAAGACAGAAAGCCAATAAAGAAACAATGGATTTAAACTATACATTGAAACAAATGACTTCACAGATACATACAGAACCTTTCACCCAAGAACTGCAGAATACACATTCTATTCAACAGGGCATGGAACTTTCTCCAAGATAGACCATATGATAGGCATAAAATGACCCTGATTAAATTTAAGAAAATTGAAATTATATCAAGCACTCTCTCAGACCACAGTGGAATAAAACTGGAAATCAACTCCAAAAGGAACCTTCAAATCCATGCAAAACATAGAAATTAAATAACCTGCTCCTGAATGAGCACTGGGTCAAAAACGAAATCAAGATGGAAATTAAACAATTATTTGAACTGAACAATAATGATGCAACCTATCAAAACCTAGCAGATACAGTAAAAGCAGTGCTAAGAGGAAAGTTCACAGCCCTAAATAACTACATCAAAAAAACTGAAAGAGGCTGGGTGCAGTGGCTCGTGCCTGTAATCCTAGCACTTCGGGATGCCAAGGCGGGCAGATCACTAGAGGTCAGGAGTTTGAGACCAGCCTGGCCAACATCGTGAAACCCTGTCCCTATTAAAAATACAAAAATTAGTTGGGTGTGGTGGTACATGCCTGTAATCCCAGCTACTCGGGAGACTGAGGCAGGAGAATCACTTGAACCTGGGAGGTGGAGGTTGCAGTGACCTGAGATCGCACCACTGCACTCCAGCCTGGGTGAGAGATCAAGACTCCATCTTGAGGAAAAAAAAAAAAAAAAAAGAAAGAAAAGAAAATGCTGAAAGAGCACAAGGGACATGGATGAAGCTGGAAACCATCATTCTGAGCAAACTATCGCAAGGACGGAAAACCAAACACCACATATTCTCACTCATAGGTGGGAATTGAAGGATGAAAACACTTGGACACAGGAAGGGAACATCACACACCGGGACCTGTCATGGGGTGGGGGGAGGCGGGAGGGATAGCATTAGGAGACATACCTAATGTAAATGAGTTAAGGGGTGCAGCACACCAACATAGCACATGTATACGTATGTAACAAACCTGCACGTTGTGCACGTGTATCCTAGAACTTAAAGTATAATTAAAAAAAAAAAAAAGAAAAAAAAAGACTAAAAGAGCACAACTGACATTCTAATGTCACACCTCAAGGAACTAGAGAAACAAGAACAAACTGAACCCAAATGCAGCAGAAGAAAGGAAATAACCAAGATCAGAGCAGAGCTAAATGAAATTGAAACAAAAAAAATACAAAAAATAAATGAAACAAAAAGCTGGTTCTTTGAAAAGACAAATAAAATTGATAGATCATTAGCAAGATTAACCAAGAAGAAAGAGGGAAAATCCAAATAACCTCATTAAAAAATGAAACAGGAGGTATTACAACTGACACCACTGAAATACAAAAGATCATTCAAGGCTACTATGAACACCTTTATGCACATAAACTAGAAAACCTAGAAAAGACGGATAAATTCCTGGAAAAATGCAACCCTCCTAGCTTAAATCAGGACGAATAAGTTACCCTGAACAGACCAATAACAAGCAGTGAGATTGAAATGGTAATTTAAAAATTACCAATAAAAAAAGTCCAAGAACAGACAGATTCACAGCAGAATTCTACCAGACATTCAAAGAAGAATTACCAATCCCTTTCTCACCATTCCACAAGATAGAGAAAGAAGGAACCCTCCCTAATTCATTCTATGCAGCCCGCATCACCCTAATACCAAAACCAAGAAAGGTCATAACCAAAAAAGAAAACTGCAGACCCATATCCTTGATGAACATAGATGCTAAAATCCTTAACAAAATACTAGCTAACCTAATCCAACAACAAACCAAAGATAATGCACCATAATCAAGTGAGTTTCATACCAGGGATGCATGCCTGGTTTATCATACACAAGTCAATAAATGTGATACACCACATAAACAGAATTAAAAACAAAAATCACATGATCACTTCAATAGATGCAGAAAAAGCATTTGACAAAATCCAGCATCCCTTTATGATTAAAACTCTCAGCAAAACTGGCATACAAGGGACATGCCTCAATGTAATAAAAGCCATCTATGACAAACCCAAAGCTATCATAATACTAAATGGGGAAAAAGTTGGAAGCATTCCCTTTGAGAACTGGAACAAGACAAGGATGCCCACGCTCCCCACTCCTCTTCAACATAGTACTGAAGTCCTAGCTAGAGCAATCAGACAAAGAGAAAGAAATAAAGGGCATCCAAATCAGTAAAGAGGAAGTCAAACTGTCACTGTTTGCTGATGATATGATTGTTTACCTTGAAAACCCTAAAAACTCCTTCAGAAATCTCCTAGAATTGATAAAATAATTCAGCAAATTTCCGGATACAAGATTAATGTACACAAATCAGTAGCTCTTCTATACACCAACAGCAACCAAGCAGAGAAACACATCAAGAACTCAACCACTTTTAGAATAGCTGCAATAAAATCAAATAAAATACTTAGGAATATACCTAGCCAAGGCATCAAAAGACCTCTACAAGGAAAACTACAAAACACTGCTGAAAGAAATCACAGACGACACAAACAAGGGGAAACATATCTCAAGCTCATGGATGGGTAGAATCAATATTGTGAAAATGACCAAACTGCCAAAACCAATCTACAAATTCAATGCAATCCCCATCAAAATACCACCAACATTCTTCATAGAATTAGAAAAAAAAAATTCTAAAATTCATATGGAACCAAAAAAGAGCCCCCACAGCCAAAGCAAGACTAAGCAAAAAAAACAAATCTGGGGGCATCACATTACCTGATTTCAGAAGATACTATAAGGCCACAGTCAGCAAAACAGCATGATACTGGTGTAAAAATAGGCACATAAACCAATGGAACAGAATAGAGAATGCAGAAATAAACCCAAACACTTACAGCCAACTGATCTTCAACAAAGCAAACAAAAACATAAAGTGGGGAAAGCACACCCTTTTCAACAAATGGTGCTGGGATAGTTGGCAAGCCACATGTAGGAGTATGAAACTGAATCCTCACTTCTCACTTTATACAAAAATAAACTCAAGATGAATTAAGCACTTAAATCTAAGACCTGAAACTACAAAAATTCTAGAAGGTAACATCGGAAAAACCTTTCTAGACATTGGCTTAGGCAAGGATTTCATGACCAAGAGCCCAAAAGCAAATGCAATAAAAACAAAGATAAATAGCTGGGACTTAATTAAACTAAAAAGCTTTTGCACGGCAAAAGGAACAGTCAGTAAACAACCCACAGAGTGGGAGAAAATCTTCACAATCTATACATCTGACAAAAGACTAATATCAGAATCTACAATGAATTCAAACAAATCAGTAAGAAAAAAACAAACGATCCCACTAAAAAGTGGGCTAAGGACATGAACAGACAAATTCTCAAAAGAAGATATATAAATGGCCAACAAACATATGATAAAATGCTCAACGTCATTAATGATCAGGGAAATGCAAATCAAAACCACAATGTGATACCACCTTACTCCTGCAAGAATGGCCATAATCAAAAAAATCAAAAAACAGTAGATGTTGACATGGATGCAGTGATTAGGGAACACTTCTACACTGCTGGTGGGAATGTAAACTAGTACAGTCACTATGGAAAACAGTGTGGAATTCCTTAAAGAACTAAAAGTAGAACTACCATTTTATTCAGCAATCCCACTACTGGGTATCTACCCAGAGGAAAAGAAATCATTATACTAAAAAGATGCTTGCACACATATGTTTATAGCAGCACAATTCACAATTGCAAAATCATGGAACCAACCCAAATGCCCATCAATCAGTGAGTGGATAAAGAAACTGCCAAAAAAACAGACATATGTATGTATATATACATATACGTATATATACATATATACACATATATAATATATACATATATACACATATATAATATATACACATATACATGTATATACTATATATACATATATACACACATATATACATATATATACATATATATACATATATATGATGGAATACTACTGAGCCATAAAAAGGAATGAATTAACAGCATTTGCAGCGACCTGTATGAGACTGGAGACAATTATTCAAAGTGAAGTAACTGAGGAATAGAAAACTAAACATGGTATGTTCTCAGTGATATGTGGGTGCTCAGCTATGAGAATGCAAAGGCATAAGAATGATACAGTGGACTTGGGGGACCTGGGGGAAATAGTGGGAGGGGGGCCGAGAGATAAAAGACTGCAAATAGGGTGCAGTGTATACTGTTCGGGTGGTGGGTTCACCAAAATCTCACAAATCACCACTAAACAACTTACTCATGTAGCCAAATACCACCTGTACCCCACAACTTATGGAAAAATAATAATAATAAAAGAAGCTACCCAAAACTACTAGTCATGCCAAAAAAAAAAAATCAACATACACATGCAAAACCTGACAGGAACCAACTTGAAGAAACTTCCACATGTCAAAGCAGAAACTGGAGCATCAATATGGATACAAATTTTAACAGATTGAATCACATCAAACATTTTTAGTTGGAGTATCCTCATGACCAATCTATTATTTTGAAAACTACCAAATAAAGGCGGAAAATCATGTATTTATTCTGCCTGTGCTATTTAAACTGTACCACTGGTAGTAGAATAAATATGGAGAAGTTTTATATATATATATATATATATATATATATATATATATATATATGTGCACGTATGTGTATATATATACGTATACACATATACGTGTATATACACACGCATATATATGTGTATATATACACACATATATATGTATATATATACACACACACACATATATATATATACATGTATATATGTGTGTCTGTGTACACACACACACACACACACATACATATATAAGAATTCCAGGTCATGAGCTATAGAATTAGATTATGATGATTTTGCAACTCTTAATGAATGATGCAACTAGACATTGATCATCGGTAGCTGCTAACATCACAAAGGCAAAACTTTATATCGTACCTGGTGAAAGAACACAGGATCATGTGTGAAAAACTATTGCCAAAAATTGAACCTGAATCTGCTACGTCCTCCAGATCAGCACTCTGTAATAGAACCTTCTGCTGCGATGAAAATGGTTTAATTAACTTGAATTTAAATAGCTACATGTATCTAGTGGTTACCATATTGGAGAGTGCATTAAATCTAACTACTGATTTACGGAAAAAGAGGGCAGAAAAGCACATTAAAATTGCCATGAGGTATATAATCAGCAAAATCTGGACTGCGGCAATGTTCTCAGATATAAATGGCCCTGGGAGAGTAGAAATTTGAAGGGAAAACTATATACTAATGGAACACAAGGGATATATCAATGAAGCAAAATATGTGGACTTGCTTTGGATTTAAAATAAAATGTTAAAAAAATGTATTAAAAATTGGAAATTTTAACACTGAACAAATATTTAACAATATTAAAGAACTTTTATTTTTGAGGTATAAGAATATAGTACTATAGTTTTTTTAACAATATTCTTATGCTTTTTAAAAATACATTCATTTATTTACAGATGAAATAATATAATAATACGCTCTGTGACTTACTTTAAAATAATAGCCAGGTGTGGTGGTGCACACCTGCAGTCCCAGCTACTTGGGAGGCCAAGGCAGGAGGGTCATTTTAGCTTAGGAGTTCAAGGCTGCAATGGGCTATGATCGTGCCACTGCACTCCAGCCTGGGCGACAGAGTGAGACCCCAGGTCTAAAAATACAATAATAATTAAATTAATATAATTTAAATTAAGTATAGAAAAAGAAGGAAAGTAAATGTAAATGAAAAACAATTGACCACTTGTAATTACTGAAGTTGAAAATAGGTATGATAGATTCAAAATAAATGTCCTTCCAATTTGGCAAATGCTAACAATAGTTTATAATTAAACCTTTACAAATATATTCGTGGTCATGATATCACAAGTTGTTATTTATTTATTTATTGATAGGATCTCACTCTGTCTCCCAGGTGGGGGTGCAGTGGTGCAATCATGGCCCCACTGCAGCCTCAACCTCCCTGGGCTCAAGCAATCTTCCCACACATCAGCTTCCCAAGTAGCTGGGACTACAGGCACGCATCACCACACTTGGTTAATTTTTGTATTTTTTGTAGAGACAGTGTGTCGCCATGTTTCCCAGGCTGTTCTCAAACTCCTGGGTTCAAATGATCCGCCCCCCCTTGGCCTCCCAAAGTGCTGGGATGGCAGGCATGAGCCACGGCACCCAGCTACAAGTCATTTTAAAAGGCAAAAGTTTAAGGGTAATAAGAGAGCACTCATAAACTATCATTTTAAGACTTTTTAGAAATAAATCAAACATTTAGCAAAGATTAGGTACTGTGACCATAAACTTACGTGAAAAAATGTTTTAATAAATTAACTATTTTCAATATAGACAGCATTCAGACTTAGATATAAATAACATTGAAGTTAGAAACTAAATAAAAGAACATAGAAGATCAGTGTAACGTCCATTCTTTCTCAGATCTCCGGATAATATAACTATATAAATATGAAGTTGACTTTATTCTTGGCACAGCAAGATTGGAACCCAGTCTGAGACTGCAAGGAGAGTGGCTCGAAATAAAGTATTTCCTCTCTCTCTTGATCTTGCAGTCCACATTTCCTGAAATAGAATCTTCAAATAAATATTTAACCAGTGGCAGGAGGAATTGCTGCCTCCTGTTATGGAGACCCAAAGGCAGGGATAGGGAGATGATTCCCCAGATTTCAAGCCAGAAGACAGAGCCTTGGCCCTAACCCACATTTTCTTATTATGCAGAAAATAGAAGAGGAGAAGACTAAAACTATCACATGAACATGTTGGCTTGAGAGAAATAGCTTGGGAAGAGATCAGTTATGCTAATTTGTGCCTTCCCCAAAGCCACGAGTTAGAGTCCAGCTTTTCCTTCTAGGAAAGGAGTGAGAAAAGGAAGATGAAGATTAGAATGGAAGCCAGTGTCCCAATGCCTCTAAGAGAGTGAAGCTTTTAGTTTACAGAGGAAGGAAAGTAAACTGGGAGACGAATAAAATAATCCATCAAAAATAACTATGTAAAGACATCAAGGAAATAGGGAAGGGGTCATTTTCACTGGTGGAAAGAAGCCATAGAGCATGGTGTGATTTATAGGCTTAGTAAAAAGTATACAGGCTGGGTGCGGTGGCTCATGCCTGTAATCCCAGCACTTTGGGAGGCCGAGATGGTAGGATCACAAGGTCAAGAGATCCAGACCATCCTGGCCAACATGGTGGAACCCTGTCTCTACTAAAAATACAAAAATTAGCTGGGTGTGGTGACGTGTGCCTGTAGTCCCAGCTACTCAAGAGGCTGAGGCAGGAGAATCGCTTGCACCTGGGAGGGCGGAGGTTGCAGGGAGCTGAGATTGCATCACTGAACTCCAGCCTGGCAAAAGAATGAGACTCCATCTCAAAAACAAACAAAAGAAAGTATATAAATTGGGGAGGATTGGTGAAAATTATTTACAAAATAATTTTCAAATGCTTAACATTTACAGAGAAGTGACACACACACACACACACACACACACACATGAACTTGGCATATGCCATTCTAAAGGCCTCTAAATTCCTATGACGGCATGAACTTATGGCCTTTGTAATCTGGGAAATGGCTCTGGTTCTCACATCAAAGACATAGAGGTAGAAATAGTTTCCAAATACTAAACATCTGGGATATATTTCCTCTTTTATAAAAAAAAAAAAATTCAATGCTTTTGATATCCTTAACCCCATGCTTCTTAGGCCCTCATCTGTCAACAGACAATGCTTTCAAAATAGCATCCAATTCCAAACCTTTATTGCTAGCTGAAGCACATTTAATAAATGACTTCTCCACTACCTTTTTGCTTGCTAGCAATTGAAGAAGCAACTGATTCACTTGCTTAAACTGCACAATATATAAATGGCCAAGTATCATTGTAAGTGATGTTCTTCCAGTTCTGCAGAAATTATAAATTTGTCCAAAAAGAAAGTTTTGAAGTCACCAGAGGCACATCCATATGTCATCTCACCACTAGAGCCCCAGGTTCTGAATACCATTTCTTGACAGCATTCCAATAGTCACATAGATGCCAAACCCATCAAAGTTTATTCAGCAGTTGGCAAGAAAAATGGAGGCACAAGTTGTGATTAATAGGCAAACTGATACACGACTCTGCTGATGTCTATCATATTCCCATGAAATTATTCCCTTCTTGTTTATGACTACTAAAGACCCTCTTATTTAAGAAAGTCTCTGTCGGAAAGGTTTCCATTGATTTTGGCAAACTTTTAAAAGAGAAAATAAATCCACAAAAACTGGAGGAAGTATTTTGTCCCATACTAAGGTTTGCTTTAGGCTTATTCTACCAGGAGGCTAGAAACTGAGACACGTTATTTTAGTGCTATAACAGAATGCCTGAGACTAGGTAATTTATAAAAAACAGAAATTTATTTCTTACTATTCTGGAGTGTGTAAAGTGCAAGATCAAAACTCCAGCATCAGATGCAGGCCTTCTTACTGAATCCTCACATAAAGGAGGGCAGAAGGGGGTGTGTGTGTGTGTGTGTGTGTGTGTGTGTGAGAGAGAGAGAGAAAGAGACAGAGACAGCGAGAGCTAGTGCACAAGAGAGCGCAAGAGCACACTTCTGCAAATCTTTCTAATAGCAGCATTAATCCATTCATGACAGAAGGGACTTCATGACCTAAACACCTTCCAAAAGTTCCCAACCAACACTGTTACATTGAGGATTAAGTTTCTAACACATGGATTTTGGAAAAGATACCTTCAAATCATAGAACATGCATTTCAAGAGAAATAGCGCTGGGCACTGGCAAATAAATAGAAAGTCCAAGTACTGGTGAGTGGTGAGTGATCTGATTAAAGGTCATAGAGTGAAAGCTGAGATTTAAAAGAATAAGATTAGGCCAATGGATTGGATTCAGATTATAAAGGGCCAAAGTCACTAGGATGATAATTTGGGGTATTTATACCCACAATGAGAACAATTGAGAGAGTTTGAGAAGTGGAGTTAACTAATTAAACTTGGCCTTAATAACAAAACTTTGGCAGCAGAGAAAGGACTTGGAGGGATACATGAGTGAAAGCATAGACACCAGTAAGCAAGTTAGCACAATAGATTGCTCCTGAACTAAGAAGTGCCTGAAATATTGCAGTGGAAATGAAAGTAGACACAATATGGCAAGTTAAGGATATATTCCTGTGGATTTGGCTTTACTCATTGGATTTGGAAGCAAGTACATTTGACAGTGCTTCTTTAAAGGCAAAAACACCTGACTTTTAGAACAGTTTGGAAATTTTATTTAAAGAATAGAGATAGTAGTGCTAAAGTGGATAAAAGTATTTTGGTATTTTGAAGGGCATTAAGCAACAAAACATCAGCCTATCAAACCCAAATGTCACCCGGTTTAATCACTGTCACTCTTACATTTATGTTCCTATTGGAATAGTTCTGAGTCCTATACATTATCAAGAACCTAGCTCCCCTAAAAATGTGCCCCAGTTATTTCTTGAATTTCCCAAAACCATGTTTCCTAGTGACTCATAAATCAGTGTAACAATCAGCACATTATCTCAAGGATACCCTTTGCCTGATCTACTATTCATTTATTGCTTTTCAATGCTTTCCAAGTCATTTGAAGGCAAATTATTAATACTTCCAAATCAACTGCTGCCACTGCTCATAGGTGTTATGCAATTGAACACCAGTGGCTGTGTCAGGATTCATGGAACCTTGTGCTTCCAAATCTGACAGCTTTCATGGTGTCAGCCAGAGTGGAATTCTGAGGACATTTGCCTTCTCTTCAGGCCTATGCCATCCTTTGTCATGAAAATCATGAAAGAGATGTGCTTTGGGTCAAATTCTCAATAACTCAGGAAAAAGAAAGGTTTTTCAACTTCTGCTTCATACCCTTCTAAATATATAGGATTAATTGTCATACGAGTAGGGAAAGATGCAAAAATATATTCTACAATGTCTCTATTCCCTTACCAGTCTCAAAAACTGTCCCTAAACAAAATGATTCTCAGACAACATATGCAAATGGAAACATGAGCTTGTGTGTGTGCTTGGGGTGATGGGAGGTAATGGTGCTGGATGATAGAAAAAAATGGTTTCATCACATATAAAATCCCTCATTTGGAATTTTTGGGGCCAGATGTGTTTCAGAGTTCAAAATGGTTCTGATTTTAGAAAGGAAGCCCCATGCATAATATAACACTACCAATAATCTGTCTCTAGCAAAACATGTGACTATTTATATGAAAAGGAAAAGACTATGTGTTACTTCCTATTAGTTCAAGTCAAGAGAGGTTTTGACACCAAATGATTCACAAAAATACTTTCAACATTTAGGGTTGTTTTTTTTTTTTTTTTTTTTGATTTTAGAACAGCAGACTTGTGGACCTTATCAAGGCCTGATAGCTGCTCCTGAGCCAAAACAGCTTTGCCAACCGCAGCTATTTACTGCTTTAAGTTTTTCCTTAGTTTGCGCAGTGGTGGAAAGTGAACTTCTGTTAAATTTCCCAAGTCTCTTCTTTTTTCATAGGCTCTTTCAAGAGTGCAATTATTCCTCAAGTCCTTGGAAATTCTGTAGTATCTGAAGAACGAAAATACCAAAATTTACTTCACCATCCTTCTATTAGCTCGACTTTGTTGTACATTTACACTTAAATTAATTTTGCTCTTCTGTTGAAAAAGTAAACTCTACCTTGAAAGTTTTATCTGAATTTTCTTATATAGTTTTTGAATTTGTATTTTGGAGCTGGAGGATAATTTCATATTATATCTATGCAGTATTAATAGAGACACATTGGATTTTAGGGAATTTAACAAAAATGGGCCGAGGCACACTGTCTAAAAAGAATGGACAGAAAAGATATGGTAAAGACTTAATGTTTCATACAGAGAGAAAGACTAACTTCTAGCTTGTCTGTCTTTGCTGGGGCCTGACTTCCTTTTTGTTAGCTCAATCTGAACACCACATTTTTGTGACTATGCATCATATTCATTTTGGATTATTTAATTTAACTTCCTTTCCAGATGAACTAGCTTTATTAAATGCTTGCCATGGATGGGCAAACAGAGTTTATGCAGGCTATAAATATCTATGATTAGTTTGGTATAGTATATTGCAATCTAAGGTGTAGCAATTATGGATAATATTTTCTCCCAAGCTTCATAAACCATTTGGGAAGAAAAAAGAAAAAAAATCTAAAAAGTAATTTATGCAAACCCCACGAATAATGGCATTGGCAAACATTATATTTCTCTGAGGTCCTGGTCAGCAGCACAAGCACACACATGATTGAAACCCTGAGTTAAAGAGAAGAAAATAAGTTTGATGCCATATGCCTCAAAGATGGGCATGACGTAAAAATTATATTGCCTGTGATATCACTTTTGATCTTTCCAACACAGCTATTAATTTTGGTACAATACAGGTACTTCTATTATACTGAGGCCATTTCCCAAAGCTGATTGCTCCCAAACGAATTTATCTACTATGTTTATTGTTCTAATATTATACACACACATAGTGTTTTGATGTGTATACATTGCTGAGCTTTTACATTATCTCTAGGCTTATAATTTTAATCACCATTAAGAGACTATATTAGGTATACAGACACGGTGTATCTTCTTTGTGCAAAACAGTTTAGGAATTGTAAATATAGGATGAGAAATTTACCCCTAATTCCCAATCCATCAAAATTTATTGTAGATGATTGCAAATAAACATAATATGTAAAAACAAACATAATGCAAGTTAGTGGCAGTAAGTGCTACTATGGAGACCTATCTGAAATATAAAATAGTACAGATGAGAAAGATGCATAGTAAAGATGCATGCTATTGGGCAGAACTGGGACTAAATTTGGGAGGATGTGAGATACAAATAGGTTCTTGAAGGACAAATAGAACTTTGACAAAAATAGAGACAAAAAGTAGGGTTATTCCAGGTGGATAAATCACACAAGTAAAGACATAGAGACAAACTGTTTTATGATGTGACTGAGCCACAAGGGATAGAACAGGGGTAAAGTTAGAATGATGGATAGACTACAAATGATTTGGGGCTAGATTTTCTGTCCATTTGGACTTCCCATTGCATCACTAACTGAATATTTTCCAGCAAGATATATATCTTCAGCCAACCCCCAATCATTTTCAATTCCCCATTTCTTAAACCTCAATAATCATTTTGACTTTATTTTACCATATTAATATTCACTAATTTGTCTACTTATTTAATTCATGCATGCAACAATATTTTAATATGTACTATGAGAGAAAGAACACAAATGAATAAAATGGGGGAATTTTGTCTTGAAAAATACAAAGAAAACAGATAATACAGTATATTGTACATTATAATGGAGTTATCCAGAATGTTACAATAGTAATGATGCAATTCTGTCCAGTTTAACCAAAATTTACTGAGCATCTACAATGTGGCAGGTAGCCTGCTAGCCATTGAGAATTTAAAGATGAATGAACTTGGTCATTGCCCTCCAGCTGCCCACAGTCTAATGAAGACTACAGAGAAAAAGCAGATAATTTGACTACAATGGCTAAGAACACAGGCTGAGGTGTGCCTAGACTAAGGACTGACTGATAATATTGCAATGGGATGGTAGGATAAGGAAAACTGCCTTTCCTATGTGAAGCATTCCATTCCTAAACCCACCATTCCCTTCCAGTACAATCATTTGCTGAAAAGGGGCCCTATCAGTACCTTAGGAGAGACTGAGAAACGAGCAAGACCCAGCTAGGAAAACAGGAAGCAAATGGTGGGTCAATTTAGGTTCATACTTGGAAGACTCAAAGGAGACGTAAGGTGTGAAAACTAGACTTTCAGACGTAGAGAATCTTTGTAATTTCCTTGAAGGAGGTTTCTTTGCACTTTTCAAAGCCCTACCTTGATGGGTATGATTTTTGTTCATCTTCATATACCAACAGAAAAGTCAAAGAGGATCATATGTGTGTCAAGGAGGGTGGTTTTGATAGAAAGTTGTAAGTGATCGCAGAATAAAATTTAATAGAGTGTCTTGTTTGGGGGCAGGGGCTAGGGGAAAAGTAGTGTAACAAGAAAGAAAGTGGTGATAGTGAATGGTGATTATTTTGTCCTGAAAAAAAGAAAATAAATAAAAAGAAAAATGACCTGAGTGGAAAAAGGAAACGACTTTCTTATTACATGTTAGCAATAACAACCTTACTAGCCAGTTGATTCCTTAATTATCCCCCAAGTACACCATTCTTTTATTATCCTAAATTATATATGTTTTGCCCTCCACCTCTCCAAACAGTAGGTCGTATTCAAGTCCATCTTTCTCTATTTAAGTCACACCAGATTACTTTAGTCCATACAAATTTAATTCTTTGACCTATTCCTGTGTACTTCTGCACTTAATTCTAATTTGTCTTTATTACCCTCTCATTCCTTCAGTTCTACCCCATCATACCTATATAAAACTCTGCCTTCACTTTGTTAATAGTTCAGCATATCCATGCCTTCTTGACAGTATCTTATCCACTATATACAGCTTGTTATAGTAATGAATATAGTCTTAATTTTTTTTCTTTGTGTGCCTGTTTTAGGATTTTACCCTCTGTGTCCTGAGTGTGCTATTATAAATCTATATCTTCCCTTTAAACATTTTTAAATGTTAATTATTTCTAACCTCAATCTTTATTTTTTTCTTACTTAAGGGTATTTTGCATTTTCTTCAGTTTCCATGTACAAGTTTCTTCATTACTTTTACCATTCATTTTGGTAGCTGACATTTTCAACTTTCATTATGGCTATTGTCCAAGACTACATATAGATTTCTGCATTTAAGAAGAGATGGTTTTATTTCTTTTTACTTTAAAATCCTTTCTATGATGTACATAATTGTCAATTGTACATTTGGACCTTGGCAGGTATATAAGTCTAATGATATGAATTACAACTTATTTGGTTTTAATGACAGAAAAACATCTCAAACTAGCCTAGGCAAGAAAAGAGAAATTGGTTTTAAAGGTACTAGAGTATCTCATATAACCAATCCAAGAGAAGTGCATGGGAGCATCTGGGTTCAACTGACCACAGGGTCTCAGTGGGGCTGGGTTTCCTCAATGGTTCATTTTCTAGGTGCTTAGATCCATTCTCTTGCACTGTAGACCATCTTTATTCATATAAATGGAAATTTGGGTGCCAACAGCTGTCAAGCTTCACATCCCTTAGCTATAACCATCAGAAAGGACAAAGGAACAACCCTAGCTTAGCTCCAGATTTACACATATAATGTATATGTTTAAGTTTTCTACAGTCATTTACTGTAATTACTGTCATTTACTGTAATTACATATATATAAAAATACATATATATATATATAATACACATACTGGATTAAGAAAACGTGGCACATATACACCATGGAATACTATGCAGCCATAAAAAAGGATGAGTTCGTGTCCTTTGTAGGGACATGGACGAAGCTGGAAACCATCATTCTGGGCAAATTATCACAAGGACAGAAAACAAAACACCACATGTTCTCACTCATAGGTGGGAACTGAAGGATGAGAACACTTGGACACAGGATGGGGAACATCACACACTGGGGCCTGTTGTGGGGTGGGGGGAAGGGGGAGGGATAGCATTAGGAGATATACCTAATGTAAATGATGAGTTAACGGGTGCAGCACACCAACATGGCACATGTATACATATGTAACAAACCTGCACGTTGTGCACATGTACCCTAGAACTTAAATTATATTAAAAATTATACATTTTATATATTAAAATTATTAAATATACACTTGTAGTTATACTTTATAAAATATAAAATATATATTATATATTTTAATACATATTATATGTAATTACAGTGAAGGACTCTTGGAATCCACCTTCAAAAGCATCACTTAAGAATTAAGGATAATGTAGCAGAAACCTGGCAACTGGAGACTTCCCCACTTCCCGTGGAAGGAGGAGGTACACCAGGCACCATTCATTCATGGCTACTACAGTGTGCACAAAATGACAGAAAGGACTTTATTGTCACTGCCTACCACTGCATCCCCAAGAGCCTAGAAGTGGATTATATAATTGTTTCGCACAATGTAGAGTGTTATTAGAGACTGACTTGTCATCTTTTTCTAGATAATGCATCTATATTTCTGAATTGAGGAAACAGAAAATAATATTTCTATGATTCATGAAATTTACTAGTTTTGTATTGACTCCTCTATTATGGAAAATAATGCCGGGCAGTCAAGTGGCACAGTGTTTAGCCAAAAAATCTTTAAAAAGTGATGCATGAAGTAAAAAAATCAGAGCAGTTGTCATAAACTGCAAAATGGGAACATTATTTCTAGTAATTTAGTAAGTCAGCTGTTTCTGTGTTTATTACAAGTTGACTAATTCGGTTCTTCCAGAATACAGCACAATTCTGCTCTCTGTTGAAAATATATCACAAACACATATAAATCATTTTATACCCTAGTTTATGTTATTTTTATATCATCCAGCCATATGACTTTGGTATACACATACTTCAAAATATAGTATATATTTTTAACTAGTGCTAAAATATATGTCAAATTTTAAAAGCCATCTTTACTGCACTCTTCGGAAAAATATATGTATTAACTTTGTGCATAGAGTTTACCATGTAAATTTCAATGTAGCTGATAATTATTGATATATTTTTTAAAGGTTCTACTTCATTTTTTTTGCCTTTCAGGCTAATATTTTTTATATTTTTAACAAAATTATCTAGATTATTGACTCTACCTCAGCTTTTTAGGTCCCTTCAGGAAAATTCAGCATTTTTTCTTTTCCCTCCACTATATTTCTCTGATCACTTTTGAAAATCATAATTATCATTAGTTTTATAATAAAATAAATGAAGTAATCTTTATTAAATGCTTTCATTGTGCCAGGTACTGTACTTAATACTGACACTCATTTATTTCTTATTTTAGTAATTTTTAATACATTCTTCCTTCCAACAAATATTTATTAAGCTGCTACAATGTTGGGGACACAAAATGAAACAAAACAATTCTCTGTCTTCAAGTTCCTTGTGGATGGTGGAGGAAATATTAATAGAACGAATAGATAGTATGTAGCGTCAAGTAATGATTAATACCTATGAAGAAAGAGATATCAGGTTAAGTGATAGAGAGTGTCAGGGGTTGCTATTTTGAATGGTGCAGTGAAGGAAGACCTCTGGAAGGAGGTACCATTTGAGCAGAGACCCAAAAAAAATGAAGGAGTAAAATACATGAATAGCTGAAGAAAGAAGATTTTGAGCACTGAGATCTGCAAGTGTAAATTGTGACAGGAGACTTTCGGAAAGCGTGTGTGGGAGAGTGGCATCACTTGACTTACACTGATCATTGGTGGTTAAAAGTACAGTTTCTAAAGCCAGGATACCTGAACCTGGGTTAATGTGCCTCCACATTCTGGCTATGACCATGGCAAATTACCTTACCTTTCTGGGCTTCGATTTTCCCACTGATAACATAAGGATTATGCACATCCCTTCCTCATAGTTTGGATATAAATGAGGAAATAAATCCACACAGAAAGATGAGCACAGTCTGTAGCATATAGTGAATGCTTGAGAAATGTTAGCTATCATTCCTGTCATTCGTTTTTTGAAAGTTGCAATCCAGGATTGTAAAGGCCTTAAGGTTGGGCTATAATGGCTTCCACATTATGGCCAGGACTCTGGTGCAGCTGCACACCTAAGAAAGTAGACCACCATACACCTGTGCCTATGAAAGTGAGGACTCTGATATTAGGTGGGGAGGGGCTCTACACTCTCTTTAATTGCTTTCCATCAAAGGAAGAATAAATTGAGAATGATTAAGTGAACTGGAGAAAGCCTATTACTAATGTAAATCATTATAAAAGCTTCAGTAGGCAAAGAAGTAAAAAAGTAGAGAATATAATGTAGTATCTTTGGATAGTCTTCGGGTAGACAATTAAATTGCGAAAAGTGATACAGTACCATTAATAATTGCACATTTCGTTTAGTATATAATTATTCATTGTGGCCTCGCGAGCTTTCTTAAGCTTAGAAATGGAAGTGGCCCTTTTATTCTGACTGTACTTATTCCCCTGAGTGTCTAAAACTGTCTCCATTTATCTTCATTCACCTCGTACCTAATGCATAAGGAATACTTCTTTGTCTCTTTAAGACTAAAATGTCAAATGAAAACATTCACTCCTCTATAAGAAGACAAGGAATACTTACCTTCCTAGAGATAATAAATATGTTGACTTATTACATGTCTACTATCCCATGTGAAAATGATATTTCTGGACAGAAACTTTTTAAAAACAGTAATGGATTGTGGTAAAATATAATGGTTCTAAAACAGCTCAATTCTCTACTCAAAATATGTCACAAATTGAAAAAAAAAGACAATTTCTTAGCAAAATGCTTTAAACTACTAACCAATAATTATTGCCTGACTACCTACTTACCAAACAGATAATTACACCCTCTGTTTATAGAGTTCCTTTCAGTTGCAAATAACTTTCATAACCACTACCTTTTCTGATTAAAATAATACCTAATTTATTAAGAGTCCTTACTAAGTCCCAGATCCTTCTCACAACAGCTCTGAGGTAGATTCTATTATTCCATAATTTACAGATCAGAAACTGAGGTGAAGAAATACTAAATAATTTCCCTCAATGTTTCACAGATATTGAGTTATAAGCCAGATTCCTGAATCTTCCCTTAAGTATCTTACAACCTTACCCCTTACCCTGTGGTGAGATAACAGGGCAAGCATTACTGATAATTTTTTTAAAAACATCCAAGATGTTAAGTAATTTGTCCAAGACGGAGTAGTCAATGAGAAGGAAACCCTGGACAAAAATGTTAGTTGTAAAGGATAAAAAGTCCCACAGATGAGTAATCATCAAGCGTTCCCCTTTCATGCAGTCACAAAGGAGAAAATGAAAATAGTTCAACATTGAAGTTTATTGAACTTAAAAAAAAATCTGTTCCAATCAATTAAAGTTTCCAGTTATATAAAGATGGACTCTATACCTGACTCATGACTGAGTTTAGTTTACTTTCAGTTAGATTATTTTTGTCTAAAATATTCAAATTGTTTGTTTCATATAATCATTTTGGTCAGGCTCAAATATTACGTTTTTTATGAATCTTTCCTGATCACCTAAATCAAATAGCAACTCTTCCTCATCTCAATCACTATCTGCCACATAACTATCACATTAACCAAATGTATTATCTTCATAGTGCTTATTATTATGTGAACATATTTATGTTTTTACTGGTGCTTGTCTCTCTCCATTACTACAATATAAGTTACGTGACAGAATTACCTTATCCTTTTGGTTTGCTGCTGTATCCCTAATGTCGAGATGAGTTCCTGGAGCATAGTAGGTACTCAATAAATATTGAATGCATAAATGAATGGATTCAGCACAATCACTGAGTTGTAAAAAACAATGTAGGCACTAATTGTGTGTTTGTGTATGTGTGAATCTGTGTACGAGTAGCCATATAGATGTGCAGACATACACACACACACACACACACACACACAAACATATAGAGAGTGCACCTTTAAAACTGCAGTTCTATTTTAACTCCAGTTCTTTAATTAGCAGTCAGATCCCCAACCATATTGTTAACACTTGGAAAGAGGCCTAATGAAAATATAAATTCAAAGTTGTCTCTAATGAGGGACAACAAGCCAAGAGAGTATAAAAACCTGTCCCCCATACTTCATTAGAAAGCATCTCAAGCCCATCAGATTCAGAAGAATTTCAATATTGGAGTTTGATGAGCAAAGTAAGAAGCTTTGAGAAAACAATGAAATGACTGAAAATCACTCAACGAGTAGCCAAGTTACAGTGTATAGTTTAAAAAGAATCCTCAAAGTACATTATAAAATATTCAACTAAAATAATGCAGATAGATCTGGCACTGGATCAGGATGTCCTAATATTTTTGTGGCTTTCCTGCTTAAATTAAAACAAAAAATCATATAGATCCAATTTACAAAATACGTGAGCTCAAAAGTTGTATTTTTGGTGAAATAATAGACAAACCAATTGAACATAATTACGAAGCTTAATCTAACTCATATCCTGTACACAGCAAAATCTCCAGTTAGTGATATGACCCAGATTCACTCTTTGCATATTACTCTTTAGTGGTTATCATGATTTGAGCCAGATTTTGAAAAAGCTTTATGAAGCTGATATTTGATTGCCATCCTTGATCCCGCAGGCTTAAGCTCTCTTGGCATTACACTACAAATTGCAGACACTGGTTAAAGTGTTCATAAAAAAATTGAGACACCAGTTGTGGAGGAAAGCTATGTTATGTTGTAGGCTCCAATAACAAAATAACTGGGCCAGCCATTGGGTATAGGAAAGGTTTTCTGAGAAAAGAACTTCGAATTTGATTGTAAGCATGCGTGTAAGTTCACTATGGTGAAAAGGAGGAGAGGGAAAAGGAGGCAGACAGAATAATATGACCAAAGTTCCTAAGTTGCAGAAAACATGGAGCTCTAAGGAGATTGTACAGCCCAGAGAGTCAAAGCTCAGAAACTGAAGTAGCAAGAAGCCCTATAGAAGGTGGGGGAGGTGGGCAGGTACAAGATCATGCTTGACCTTGTAATATGGTTGAAGGATCTCTGCTTTTCTCTTACACCAGTGAGAAGCCATTCTGCTTTTCTCTTATATCAATAATAATGAACTCTGTGTGTGTGTGTGTGTATGTGTATATGTGTGTGTGTCTGGGTGTGTCTCGGTGTGTGGGTCTGCGTGTGTGTCTATGTACATGAAGGGGAGGGTCGTATATTAAGTTTGGGAGAGAGGTATTAGTGGAAGAAAATTAGTTTGAGAGGTCAAATGTATGATTTTTCAGTACTATCAAGAGCAATAATGTAGGAAGGAATGCTTTCACTTTTAATCACTTTGCTTGGAAATCCCCCACTATACTACGGATTTCCAGTTCATGCTCAGTGCCTTCTTTAATCTGAGGAATTGATTGACCAGTATTTACTGAACTAGTTACTTCACTACTGTTGTTGCTCTTGGTGATTTAGAGTGGAGTCAAACCAGTTCTAAACTTAAAAAATGATGAATGGAGTAAAATCTATGGGTAGGCTACCCAGAATCCTATCTTCTCATCTTCCTTTTTAGTACACCTATATATTCTATTTAGATATGCATCCCTGCCCCATAAAGCTAATTATCTCATGGGAATATGTAGACTCAACCACAAAACTTTGTGAGGTCCAGTACAAAATAAAAATGCAGGCTTCTTATTAATAATTATTCAGAATTTCAAGATGATGCTAGCAGAGCATTAAACTAAGAATGGTGTTCTTCTAAGTCCAGGACCCTGTGCTATTGCATAGATAGCATCACCATGAAGTCAGCTCTTGGATGTCCCTGTCTCAGCCCCTGATAAAACCATCGGGTCTCCTGAGAACTCGCTCACTATCATGAGAACAGCATGGGGATAACAGACCGCGTGATTCAATTACCTCTGATTCTGACCAGGTCCCTTCCCCGCCATGTGGGGATGATGGGTACTACAATTCAAGATGAGATTTGGGTGGAGATACAGCCAAACACTATCAGTCCCCAAACGTGTATGGGTCTGAAATTTCCTCAATGAAGCATGGTGGGGAAGAGGTGAGTTTGCTCAGTGGCCTCTGTACATTTTTCTATTTCTTAGGAGACAGAGAAAGGAAGAAATGATCTATTTGTTTTCTCTACATTTGATGTCTGGAAATGTTGCATCCAAGCAAATATTTATGACAGAAGTACAGAAATTAAAAGGATACAGAGAGTTGATCATATTGTTGAACCCATAAATCAACGAACTCAGACACCCATCATAATTCACGACTTCTTGTTATACCAGATAGTACACTTTCTTTATAGTTTAACTCATTTTAAGTCAGGGGTTTTGTTATTAGAAGTAGAAGCATTTCAGTTGACAAAAATAATAAAGTGTCTGAAACTAACTTTGCTCAAAGAAGTAGTTCCTTATTTGGTAGGTAGTATTTGCTACATTGTTAAATATTTTTACAGCTTGGAAGAAATGAGTATTACCTAGGATAACAGAGATATTTCTTGAAAAATAAAGAGATCATATGACATAAAATAAAATGCAATAACGTGATCTCTGTTGGTATAGCCTAAGAAAATAAATGTTTATTTGCAAGATAACTTCCAGGTGAGTAACAATATTCCAGGTTTGCTTCTTCTAACATTAAATATGAGTATGTATTTTTATGCTTTTTGGCCTAAAAAATTTTTGTAATGGAACAAGATATCATCCAGAGCTCTCAAAAGGCAAAAGAGAAGGACCATACAGTCTGTCAGATAAGCAAGCATCATAACAAGAGAACAGCTATGAAAATCAATCAGAATAAAATTACGTAAAAGTGAGAGTGTTTTCCCTGAGGAATTAATTAGCATAGCTATCCCAATCTGCAACACCCTCTCCATCCATTTTCTTCTCAAAGTTTAATTCTTTAAACTTGTGACAAAAGAAGAAAAAAGCCAATGGATCTACTTACTTTACTGTGGAGGGTCTGTAAGATTAACAAAAACAATATATTCTTGGTTTATTCACTCACAAAGCTATTTGTAGTAGTTGATGTAAGCACAAAATATGATCGCATCTAGTTGTTCTATGGTCATGCAAAGCCTGATACTGTTGGCTATGGCAGCTGTGAATCTAATAGAGGCAACAGAAGGACAGAGTCAAGTTCAAATCCAGATCTGACCTAGAAGGCTATGTTCTTAACTCCCACAAATCACAATCTCCTACTGTATATAAAACCAGAGCTAAAATAGAAGGAACCTCATAATGGGATGATAAAAAGGAAGTAGAAACAAAAGCTGCGAAGTAAGGTAAGCTAAGTCTAAATTGTAGTGACTTTGTGGCTGAGTGAATCTTAACGCTTAAATGGGGAATTTTTAGGTAAAAAGTAAAATAAAATAAACTTCTAGGCAGAGAGAATGATGTATAAATATTTATGGAAGTTTAATCTTATGGATGATCTTGGGTTGCTGTGGATGTTAGAACCTATTAGGGAGGTTACTTTGACAGTAAGTAACCTTCTTTACAAGGTGACTTGGGGCAGGAAAAGAGGAGGCAGTAGGTTCCTACACCATGATTTTATCCCTGCCCCCAAGAGAACTTAAAATCAACTTACAAAAATAAAAAAATTAAAAGGTAAAAAGTTAAATGAAAATAATACATTTAAATAATATTTCAATGTAAAAGACACGGAATATATTACATGGAAATAAACGACCACTTTCCAAATGGATGATAGAGACTGAAGTTTTAGAAGTTCTAAATATTTATCCATTTGTTTGTTGATGGACACTTAGCTTGTTTCTATATGTTGGCTATTGTGAATAATGCTGAAACGAACATTGGAGAGAAGATACTTTTATGATCATGTCGTATGCCTTAAATATATACAATAAAATTTATTTTTTAAATATTTGGAAGTTATTTTTAAATAGACTGGTCAGGGAAGTTGCATGTAGAGAGAAAATCTGAGCTAGGTTTTAAACGATGGGTTAAATGCATAGGTTAAATAAAAACACCAGAAAATACAAGATCTGTCTCAAGTCAGGTTTCTTAGAAGCCAAGCCTGACTGTAATTGACTGAGCTAGTGCTCCTTAGGAAAACCCTGTAAGCAGAGGAATAAAGCTGGATGTGATAGTGAAGGGATTCAAGAATTCAGCAATGATGTGGTCTCAGGAAGTGTAGCTTCGGCCTGACCCATAGGTGAGAATTCTAAAGCATGAACTGCATGAAAAGCACAGTTAAATGCATAGGAATGAGATGGGTTTCCAGGATGGTGGGAAACCATGAGCAAAAGTGCAACTGTAGATGAGTGCATGTGGAACTAATGTGAGCAAAGTTGGAACTTCACGGAAAGAAACAGAAATAGGAAAAAGTGGGGAGGTGGTTGGTGTCAAGTCCTGGATGGCCTTGACTGTGAGTCTATAACTTTGAAACTAACCATTGTAGATAATCTCACGAGTCTGTTGAGTGAGATGTGAAAGTCTAAGTTAGAGTTGTGCACCTGGCAAAATGGTGCAGGATGAAATGAAATGAGAGAGTTTAGAGTCAGAAAAACCAGTCAATAGGCAAACATAGCATGAAAAATTAGGATACGGATGTGGCAACAGTTATGGGAGAGTAAAGGATATTATAAGGAAAAGATTAATAAAATTATTAACTGATGGGATAAGAAGGTGAGTGATAATGAGCAGTCTCTCATCACTGTCATACCTTAGCCACATGAATAAATTCAAAAAGTGTAGTTTTAAGATGACAACAGAACATGTAAATGGAAATATCAAGCTAGCTGCCTTGTAATGGAAAGCAGAATACAGATCTGAGAGGTCTCCTCTTGCAGAAAACTGTTGTGGTTATTGATGGGCCCTTTAAAGTGCAGAGCATAGGCAAAGAACTGCAGAGACACTGCGCTTCCTTGCTTTAGAGGCACTGGCTCATTTCGCTGCCTGGAAAGTTCTTGTCTACCTTCTTACCTGTAAATCTTCAATTCACCTGTAAAGTCTCAGCACAGAAGTCACTCCAGCATGGCTTTCTCTGACAATTGTAGAGTATTTTTGCTTTTTATTCTGGTCTTTCTGGCACCTATTCATTAATTCACCAAATAATCACTGAGTTGCTAGTATAGTCTTGACATTGCTCTAGGTGTAGAAAAACCAGTGGCAAACAGATAAACAGTGTCCTTCTTCTTATGGGTCTGTGTATATTTTAGCTGGATTAGACAGTCAACCAATCAATCAAACCATCCAACAATATATAATATTTTAGGTGGTGATGAATGTGTTTTAAGAGGGAAGCTATTTTATATCATGTAGTCAGAAAAGCCTGACAGATGAAACAGCATCCGATCACAGACTTAAAGGAAGACATGAACAAACCATGACAAGAATGGAAAGAGAAAGTTTAGGGAGAGTAACCAGCATTTGCAATGATCTGCATGCTTAGTATGTTTGAGAATCAGCAAAGAGGCTAATGCAACTGGAGTCGAATCGTTATATTAGGGGTAGTGCTGGGTGACAGGAAAGAGTGTCAGAAAAGTATTGGAGGACCAGATCTTTAGAGTCTTGTAGATCATGCTGAAGAATTTGGGAAATTATTGGAGGATTCTGACCAGGGAGGTCAACTAGTTGTATTACACTGATTTTAACCAGCAGTCTCATAAGTGAAAGTGTCACCAGTGGAGGTGAAGAAGGCCTTAAAGTACCAGTGGATCTCACCAAGCAACAGTAAAGAGTGGTGAGAAATTTGCAAATGATGACATGGTTTAAAAATGGAGGAAAGTGGAGACTGAGAAGTAGAAGGGCAGGGGAAAGAAAAAGAAAAGGCAAGGCTGTGGTCCATACTGAAGTGTCTATTTGCTCTATCAGCTCTGCACTGTCTGCGAGCTGCTCATGGAGCCTAGCTGTCTCCTCCTCTGGAGAGTATTTCTAGGCTGTGTGGAGCCAACTCACCCAGGAAACTAAGCCAAGAAAAGGATGTCTCATAGCTAATGATTGATGTAGGGCATAAATAGTCAGCCTCTTTGACTCCAGGGCAACTCTGAACTGCAATTCATGCTTTAGAACTCTCACCTATGGGTCAGGGTGAAGCTACACTTCCTGAGACCACATCATTGCTGAATTCTTGAATCCCTTCACTATCACATCCAGCTTTATTCCTCTGCTTACAGGGTTTTCCTAAGGAGCACTAGCTCAGTCAATTACAGTCAGGCTTGGCTTCTAAGAAACCTGACTTGAGACAGATCTTGTATTTTCCGCTGTTTTCATTTCTCACAGAACCTAATAAAATTCTGAGAGTGACATCAGGGCATAATAAATATTTGCTGAATTAAAGAACAGACATAAGAGTTATAGAAGAGTAGAGAATGCTATCCATAAACAATATTGTGAAATACCATGTGATATCCTCACAGTAAGGGCACTTATTTCCAATTTACATAATTTGGGTAAAACTGACAGAGTAAGAATACATAGGTATACATAATTATTTAGTTTTTATTTTATGGGTAAATCACTTAAAATTTTTATGAGTCACCTTTCCTAAGTTCATATTTGCCACCTTTTACGTCTATAATACAAACAAATTTGGTGAATTAACTTCAGTTCTGTCTCATCTTAAGACCCTCATTAGACACTGATGAATATGCTAAGCTGTAGCTTCTTGCTATCTCCCCTGACATTTAACTTAAGTCACCTGACCACACAGGAATGCTGAAAAAGAGTTTATTTGCTGAGATTGCACGTGTTAAACCGAATGCAGATGATGTGATGAGATAAATCATAAGAACACTGCATGCTTAGTTGGTAGCCCATGACTAAAATATTTGGTTCCCTTAAGACAAACGGTCATTTGAAAAAATTATATTCCCTTGTCAATTCAGAGAGTCTTATTTTTCCTAGTTATTGTATATCTGTCTTCTTTTTCTCCCATTCTTTTTATGCATCCCAAAGCTTGTCACTCAGTGTCATGGAAAATTTCATAATTTTCTTAGATGTCATCTGGTGCACCTTTTTTGTTTAGTTTGGTCTCATGCACTTTTAGGTTTTATTTTGTTTTCTCATTGAACTTTCCACTCTATTAACACCAGTATTACACATGTTTCTTGTTACATGCTTCATGATCATATATCCATTATGAATGGCCAATAGAAGTAAAGATTCCTGACTAACTAGAATGTTTATTATAACCATTTCAATGTAATATAATCAGGAATTTTTAGCTTCATTAGTTTTATAATATTCTTTCAAGTTTACTCTTATGGCAAGTCAATTACATATTGTTTCAAATATTGGACTGGGAAGTACTTGCAAAATCTAGATAAATGCTAATTTTCTACAGAGTTTTTGATTTCATACACAAGGATTGTCTAATGTATTTACCATTGACTACGTATATGGTTCTGTGTGTAGAAAGATGTGTGAGAAATTCCCAACACTCAAAGACCACATTATCACCTTGAAGGAAATCACGTATATGTGCACACAGGTCACATTAGCATTAGACAATGAGTTATGAAAAAAATAATTCTCTTGTTTGGTACTTCCAATTGTTCTCCATTGCTTAAATAATGAAAGAATTATCATAACCTGGCACTTGTTAACCTCTAAAGTCTTTTTTGTTTCTGCTTCTCAAGTTCACTTTTATCTCAATTATTATTTAAAAAGTAACCCAAGGCCAGTGTAGAAATGCATGAAAAATACAGAAAAATAGAAGAAAGTGAAAATTTCCTTTATCACAGTAGCATGGGAAAACTACCATTACCATTTTGCTATGCAAGCTTATGGCCTATCTTTAATGTATATTTAAAGCTACATGGCTGGGCGCGGTGGCTCATGCCTGTAATCCCAGCACTTTGGGAGGCTGAGGGAGGTGGATCACCTGAAGTCAGGAGTTTGAGACCAGCCTGACCAATATGGTGCAACCCCATCTCTACTAAAAATAAAAAATTAACTGGGCGCAGTGGCGGGCGCCTGTAGTGCTACCTACTCAGGAGACTGACACAGGAGAATTGCTTGAACCCAGGAGGCGGAGGTTGCTGAGATTGTACCACTGCACTCAAGCCTGGGTGAAAGAGAGAGACTCCATCTCAAAAAAGAAAAGG